>NC_000006.12:20666060-20969090 GCF_000001405.40 Homo sapiens | reverse complement strand
AATAACAACAACAAACTGTAGGGAGTGAGAAGAATCCGATTTCCAGAGCTGCCACGTTATATTATTCAAATGTCCAGTATTCAATAACAAAAATCATAAACCATAAGAAAACCCTCCAAACAAACAAGAAAATATGGTTTGTGCACAGGAAAAAAGGAGACAATAGAAACTGTCCCTGAGAAAGCCCAGATATTAGACTTTACTGGACAAAGACTTTAAATCAGCACTTTAAATATGATCAAAAAACTAAAGAAAACCATGTCCCAAGAATTAAGGAAAATCAAGAGAATGATGTCTCACCAAATAGAGTACCAATAATGAGACAGAAATAATAAAAAAGAACCATATAGAAATTCTGATATAGAATGTATAAGAACTAAAATTTAAAAATTACTAGAAGGGCTCTGCAAGAGATCTGAACAAGCAGAAGAAACAATCAGCAAACTTGAAGACAGGTCAATTCAGATGACTTGATGGGGGGAATAGAAAGAAAAAATTAACAGAGCCTTAGATACCATCAAGCACACCAACAAACACATAATGGGAGTTCTAGGAAAGGAAAGAAAGGAGCAGAAAGAATATTTGAACAAATAGTGGCCAAAACCTCTCTAATTTGAAAAACAGCACTAATTGGCTGGGTGCGGTGGCTCACACCTGTAATCCCAGCACTTTGGGAGGCCAAGGCGGGAGGATCACTTGAGCCCAGTTATTCAAGACCAACCTGGAAAACACAGTGAGACTCTGTCTCTATAAAAAATACAGAAACTAGCTGGGTGTGGTGGCACACACCTGTAGCCCCAGCTGCTTGGGATGCTGACATGAGAGAAGTGCTTGAGCCCAGGAAGTCAAGGATGCAGTGAGCCATGACTGCACCACTGCACTCTAGCCTGGGTGACACAGTGAGACCCTGGTCCAAAAAAAAAACAAAAAAAAAAACCCAGAACAAAAAAGAACATTAATCAACACATCCTAAAAGCTCTAGAAACTTCAAGTAGGATAGACTCAAAGAGATCTACACCCAGACACATCATAATCAAACAGTTGAAAGTCAAAGACAAAAAGCGAATCCTGACAGCAGCAAGAGATCAGCAACTTATAGATAAGGGATCCTCAGTAAGATTAACATTTGGTTTCTCCAAAGAAACCATATGGAAGAGAGGGAAGTGAGATGATATAAAATGCTGAAAGAAAAAGACTGCCAACCAGGAATTCTGTATCCAGAGAAGCTGCTCTTCAAAAATGAAGACGAAATTAAGTCATTTCCAGATAAATGAAAACCAAGAGGAATTAGTTGTTAGCAAATCTGCCTCTCAAGAAATGCTAAATGGAACCCTTCAGGCTGAAATGAAAGGACTCTCCAATCCACAGGAAGAAATAAAGAGCAGCAGTAAATGTAACTGCATATGTAAACATAAAAGACAGTATAATTGTGGTTTTTGTTTGTAACTCTTGTTTTTATATTATCTGATTTAAAAGACAACTGCACAAAGTGCTAATTATAAGTCTGTGCTACTGAGCATACACTGCATATATATGTAATGTTTATGACAGTAACAACAAAAAGAAGTGGGGTGGGAAGGGAACTACATAGGAGCAAAGTTTTCATATGTTATTATAATTAAGTTAATATTGATCAAAATAAGAGTGTTATAAATTAGAATATTAATTGTAATCCCTATGGTAACCACTATAAAAATGACTTAAAATATATATAGTAAAAGAAACAACAAAGTAATTAAAATGTCATACTAAAGAATTTCTATTTACTACAAAAGGAGGCTGTTATGAGTTGAACTGTGTCCCCTAAAAAGATGTAAATGTAAGTCCTAACCCCCAGTAGCTGTGAATGTGACATTACTTGGAAACAGGGTCTTAATAGATATAATCAAGTTAAAATGAGGTCATAATGAATTAAGGTGGACCCTAATCCAATGACTGGTGTATAAGATGAGGACATCTGGAAACAGAGGCAGAGGAAAGAATGCCAGGTGAAGACTGAGACAAAAATTGGAGTGATATGTCTATAAGCCAAGGAATGCCAAGTATTGTCAGTAACCATTAGAAGCTGCGGGACAAGAACAGAACAAATTCTCTCTCAGAGTTCCCAAAATACCCAGTTTGTGGTACTTTGTTACAACAGATAAACCAATACAAACGCAATAATGGAAGAATATAGAAACAACAACAAAAAAATAAAAAGAGTCTGCTGAGGTAGGAAAAATAAAGACTGAAAATGTAGGAGCCACTTAACTAAAAGATTAATGTCTGAAATTTCCACCAATCAGAAGGTAGCCTGATATTCCACATGACATTGCAAAATAAAAGCTGATACAGAGTATGCTTTTAAAAATATTTTAACATTAAACTATGAAGACTACTTTTTTATGACCATATATTAGAAACAGACTTAATGACAGTATTTTCTCTAATCAATGTTATATTGATAGTAAACTTTCTGCAACAGTTTTTAAAAACACACAATAATACATGTTATAAACAGAAACCATTTCCCCCCTCAAACTAATGAATAATTGGGGATCTTTCAGGATTATGCTAAACAATCAGTTTGATTTTCTCTGGCCTACATGCAGCATCCTCTGATCCTAAAAGTGATTTATTAAACATGGATTGTGCCCATATTTAATATTCGATAGTTCTGATACAACATATGCAAATCAAAGAGTTCTGAGCAGTAGGAGTCTATAATAACAATAATCCTTATGTTTCCAACTTAGGACATAATCATTATTTACTGTTAAATGATATTAAAGAATTTTTGAACTTAAATTTTGAAAGCTTAACATTTTCAAGTGGAGCATTTCTGTGGTAGGGTCAGGAAGATGTAGAGAACAGATGTACATCAGACCTAAAAGCAACAATTTAGTATCTTAGAAATAAACAGAAGCAGATGAAGGGAACGGACTTTGCTTTCTGACAAATATGCAGAATGTCCCTCAACTATTCTATGAACCATTAACTTCATTACCCCCGTCTGTTCTAGATCATGAATCACCTGAAAATTCCATTACCTACCTGATGTAAAATATGAGGATTTCATTTTACTAAGTGCTGAATTAGCAAGTGCCTAAGGTAGCCTTTCATAGGCTATTAAAGCAAAGAAGTCAATACCGAGAGGATCGTAGAATAGAAAAGTGTAAAGGAAACTACGTGGATTGCCTTATGTGTTAGCCATTCTCTGTGCTTCTGAAGGAATGTCAAAGGCAGCTTTTCTCAATGGTTTGAGCATAACTGACTTCCTAAATTAATGAGGAAGATAAAGCCCACAGCTGGTGTATTATGGAGTTTGAACTGCACTAATTTTGACAGGTGACATGAAAGCCTTCTCAGCTACTCCGGGTGAAATTAAGGATTCAGGGGACTGGCAATGTGAAATGCCTTTTAAGATGTAAATTAAACCATATACATATCTAATGCTCTTCTATATAAACGGAAGTGTACACTAGAATACTAAAAGATGAAGAAGGAATAGATGTGTGTCAGTTGAAATATGTAAATTTTTATGTTTTTCAAGTATGTTAGAGTGAGAGAGATCTTTATATTTACTTTAAAAGAGTATTTTTCCTCAAAAAATATACATAGAGAGAGACATGACCCAGGATAGATATTCAACTATGATTATAATGTTCCCCCTCCCCTCCCCTCCCCTCCCCTCTCGATACAGTGTCTCAATGCTCAGACCAGAGTGCAGTTATATGATCATAGCTCACTACAGTCTTCCCTCTTCCCTCCCCTCCCCTCCCCTCCCCTCCTCTTCTCTTCTCAAGATACAGGGTCTCAATGCTCAGGCCAGGGTGCAGTTATATGATCATAGCTCACCACAGTCTTGAACTCCTGGGTCCAAGTGATAATCTGGCCTCAGCCTCCTGAGTAGCTGGGACTACAGATGTGTGCCACCATACCAAGCTAATTGTAAAAAACTTTTTGCAGAGACGGATCTCACTGTATTGAACAGGCTGGTCTCAAACTCCTGACCTCAAGCAATCCTCCTGTCTTGGCCTCCCAAACACCTGGAATTACAGGTGTGAGGCACTGCACCTGGCCAAACATCAGTTTATTTATAAAGGATTTGCTAAGGCCTTTTCACTCATCATCTTGACAACCATGGTATCCCTATGTTCTTTTCCTCTCACGAAAATTAACCGTCTCTTTTGGGAACAAATATCCGTGTGTCACTGCATTTTATAAACAATATTCAATAATTTGGGTCAATGGCAAGAGGGAAAAAATGATGACAGTGGTTGAGAAGTTCAGAAGTTTTGTTGTTTTGTTTTTAACTTCTGTTTAAGTTCAGGGGTACATGGGTAGCCCTGAGACATAGGTAAACTTGTGTCATGGGGGTTTGTTGTACAGATTATTTCATTACCCAGCATCCATTAGTTATTCTTCCTGATGCTCTCCCTCCTCCCACCCCACATGGCCCCAGTGACAGGCCCCAGTGTGTGTTGTTCCCCGCCATGTGTCCACGTGTTCTCACCATTCAGCTCCCACTTATAAGCAAGAACATGTGGTATTTGGTTTTCTGTTTGTGTGTTAGTTTGCTGAGGATAATGGCTTCCAGCTCCATCCATGTCCCTGCAAAGGACATGATTTCGTTCTTTTTTTATGGTTGCATAGTCTGTGTACCACATTTCTTGATCTAGTCTATCACTGATGGGCATTTAGGTTGATTCCATGTCTCTGCTATTGTGAATACTGCTCCTATGAACATACCCACGCATGTGACTTTATAACAGAATGATTTATATTCCTTTGGGTATGTACCCAGTAATGGGATTGCTAGGACAAATGGTATTTCTGTCTTCAGGTCTTTGAGAAATCTCCACAAAGTCTTCCACAATGGTTGAACTAATTTACACTTCCATCCACAGTGTATAAGCATTCCTTTTTCTCCGTACCCTCGCCAGCATCTGTTATTTTTTGACTTTTTAATAATAGCCCTTCTGACTGGTGTGAGATGGTATTTCATTGTGGTTTTGATTTGTATTTCTCTAATGATCGGTGATGTTGAGTTTTTTTTTTCATATGATGGTTGGCCACATGTACGTTGTCTTCTGAAAAGTTTCTGTTCATGTTTTTTGCCCAGTTTTTAATGGGGTTGTTTTATTCTTGTAAATTTATCTAAGTTTGGGAAGTTCAGAAGTTTATACCACAATGTGGATTAAAGCATTTCAGGACAAACATGAATGATTTGGCTGTTTATATTCTCACACTAGATTTATTCTCTCATGCCTGCTTTCTCATAATATAGACACTGGAACTGAGAATACCAGTGAAGCACATAAGATAGGTCTCTGTATAAATTATTGATGGCCATATAAAGAGAATTTTTAAGTATGATCTAGGCATGTTCTTGTGTTCCTCAGGAAGACAGAGGTACCCAGTATTTTCAACATGAGAAACATTTACCCAGAAAATACACCTGGCACAATAAGGATAAAATAACATTCAGCAGCAACAAAGTGCAATCTGTTCTGAAATAAAGTCTATTTATAAGTTCATTTATTTTGGGGTCCTTCGGTCTACATGTAATCATGAGGCTTACTCACCCAGACTTAACATTACAAACAAAGGCTCAGTAGTAGGAAGCAACAAGCTCGGTAAATTTTTCTGAGGAGTAGTTGAGATCAAGAAAAGCTTTGGCTTCTTGGGCAGAGCTGGAATTAGGGGCTGAGGCCTGGACAAGGGCACAAGCAAGTAGTATCACAGAACAAAGAGGCCGAGACCCAGGTATGGGCAGAGATGCAAGTCTTTTTTTTTTTTAGTGGAAGGGCCTAACTAAAGCTTCCTGCTGCTCAAACCCAGGACTAGCAGAGAAGTTGAAGAGTTAGAATGTTAGGTAGAGCCTATAATTTTGCTAAGGGGAAGTAGCATTTCAATTTCATCTTTTATCAGTATTAGATCCTTTGGCAGGCAAGAAAGGACATTCCTTTCATCCACATCCTCCCTTCCAGAGAGGCTGTTCCCAGCTCTCAGAATTAGGTTCCCAATGAAGCCTGATAAACTTAAAAAGAAAATGTATATGAGCCCTTTTAATATTTGATAAAAGTTTTCTCTCTTTAATATTCAGAAAGACACAAACTTCTGTTTCTAGTTTTAGGTGTTTCACTGACCTCTTAAAATTTATTCGCAAGTGCCAGGGTAAGAATCAAATAGAGCACTGATGATTATAAATGGCAAAAAACAGTGCCAACAGTTAGATCAAACCACATACTGACATGTCTCAAAAGCTACAGGTGGATGGTTGAAATAAAAGATTTTTCCTTTCCATTTCCTTGCTGAAAATAAGTAATCTAGCATGTCTTTTTATTCATCAAAAGGGGAAAAATATTTTGTATACAACAGTAGAGAATATATTTACATATTATTCTATTATTCCAGAAAGTATAAACCCTAAGGAAAAGAAATGTTTAAAGACACAGCTTGAACTGCTGAGTTCAGTTTGGAAAATCTGTATTGCTTTGATGAAACATAAGCACAGCATGTATTGAGTTTGCTATTATTTTGAAACTATGAGGCATTTTTTAAAACTCGGCAAAGGCAAACATATTATTAATGTTCATAAATTACCATGCAACAAAAGTCCTTGACAGGTATCTACTGTCTTTCAGCAGATGAATTTATTTCACTAAATACAGAATTAGGTTAGAATATAAGGTCATTGAAGTAGAAGTAAACATACAAAAATCTAGGGTAGCAGGAAGCTGATTTGTTACGGTGATTAAAAGATTTCCAAACCAAAAACAGAAGAGATATTTAAAATATCACTATTTGTAATTAACCTTATGATGACATGTACCATAAGTATACTAGCTATAAATCTTGAGCAATACTATATATTTTAATTCAAGCTAAATAAAATGTAGCATAATATCAATGTGAATGTTAGTGTCAATGTTGTTTGGCAATATTTTACAAAGTAATATGTTTAAAAATATATAACTTGTTTTATTATAATTTGAATATAGGAATAGTCCTTAATAAGCACTTGCAATCTAGATTAACCAGTTTGCCCTCTCTGGCGCAGGTTGTAAGTAATGCACTAAAATTCTCATACAATTTTGAGACACGCAAGTCTCTTAAAGGGAGATAAGTTACTTTGAACTATTCATGACAGAGGGAGGACCAGAATAACTTTTTAAAATAAACATTTTAACTTTTATTTTAGGCTCAGGGGTACATGTGCAGGCTTGTTATACATGTAAACTTATGACTTGGGGGTTTGGTGTACAGATTATTTAGTCATCCAGGTACTAAGCGTAGTACTTGATGTTTTTTTTTTGTTTTTCTTTTCTTTTTTTTTTTTGAGACGGAGTCTTGCTCTTTTGCCCAGGCTGGAGTGCGGTGGTGCGATCTCAGCTCACTGCAAGCTCCACCTCCCAGGTTCACGCCATTCTCCTGCCTCAGCCTCCAGAGTAGCTGAGACTACAGGCACCCGCCACCACACCCGGCTAATTTTTTGTATTTTTAGTAGAGATGGGGTTTCACTGTGTTAGCCAGGATGGTCTCGATCTCCTGACCTCGTGATCCACCCGCCTCGGCCTCCCGAAGTGCTGGGATTACAGGCGTGAGCCACTGCGCCCAGCCGATATTTTCTTTTTCTGAACCTCTCCCACCTCCCCCTGATCTCCCTCAAGCAGGCCCCAGTATCTGTTGTTCCCCTCTATCTGTCCACATGTTCTCATTATTTAGCTCCCACTTATAAGTGAGAACATGTGGTATTCGGTTTTCTATTCCTGCGTTAGTTTGCTAAGGATAATGGCCTCTAGTTCCATCTATGTTCCTGCAAAGGACATGATCTTGTTCTTTTTTATGGCTGCACAGTATTCCATGGTGTACACATACCACACTGTCTTTATCCAGTCTACTGTGGATGGGCATTTAAGTTGACTCCATGTCTTTGTGATTGTGCATAGTGCTGCAATGAACATATGCATGCATGTGTCTTAAATACATAAAATCCAGATACTTACTCTTTTCCTTACTGCCCAAGAGCTTTAACATCTTTTCCCTATCAGCCAATTCACGAAACTAAAACCAAGACAAACTGTCTGATTTTAATGTATCCTCTCTAGTGGAGATTTTAAAAAGCAGTGTAAGTTAACAAGCAGGAAGAGGAGAAAGAAGTTAAGAGCCTGGATCATCTACAAATTCGATAATCATACAATAAGCTCATTTGTTCTAGACAGCCCTAAAGATACTATCTATCGCTATAGTATTTTAGCTGGGCAAATAAACATAACGCATCCCTTAGATGAATCCCTAACCATCCAGTACATCTTCACAGAAATGTGACTCATGAGAAACATATATGACAACCGTTCCCAAACTCTTCCAAAACTGGATGCTCAGCAGATATGAAGGTACTTCAGTACATGAGGCATGAAGTCAAGGAACAGTTAATAAACTAAACTTTGAGCTATCACATCATTCAGTAAACATTTATTAGGTGTATGAAGTGTGTGTTATCACAGGCACTGATATACAAAGATGGATAAGACAACATCTCCCTTATGATAACAGTCATGTTGGATTTCTACATAAATAAGTAATCATGATGCACCATTATGAGTGCCCAAAGAGACAGAGACCTGTTGTACAGGGGTACTATGAAGCACAGAACATATGTGGGAAGAGTTTGGGAAGGCTTCCTTGAAGATGCAGTAGAGTAGAAAGCATTTGCGAATTAGAATAGATTAGAAACCAGTTCAGCGGCTAACTGGCTATGCGGTTTAGCCAGTTATCTAACCTTTCGAACCCATGGCTTCTCAATTAACAAAACAAAAATAACAGCCAGGCACAGTGGTGTATGTTTGTAGTCCCAGCTAAGGCAGGAGGATCACTTGAGCCCAGGAGTTCAAGGCTGTAGAGCGCTATGATCACACCTATAAATAGCCACAGCACTCCAGCCTGGGCAACAAAGCAAAACCCCATCTCAAAAAAGTGGGCAAAAGAAAATTGAGGATAATAATATCTATATAGCTAGCCTGTTCTAAGAGGAAAAACAGATCACACATGTAAAGCACTCAGTTTCTTGCAAACAATAAGCACTTGATAAATTGTACTGATTTTATCAGTTAGCAGTGATTTCAGGTGCCTCATTAGCAGCAGCCATTATACCACTATCACTGGTCTCATGTGAACCTTGTTGGGTTCACATGTATTATTTTCAGTCTGAATTAATACTTTAGCTGTAGGCTACCTATCACTAGGAGGACAAAACTAAGCAATGTAGTTTTAAGAGTAATCAAATTCATAAACCGCTTCACTTTCTACAAGGTCAGAGTTCATTAAAGAGGAATATGCAAAGGTTATTACATTAGCAATATCAACAGGAAAGCAAACACAGGGAAAATACATCTTATTTGCCACTACAGGGGCGATATATTAGCCAACACATGTAGTAGCAAATATTAGTATGTCTGATTAACACATTACTACCAACTGTCATCATATGGTAAGTATATCATGAGAAAAAGGTAATGTAAACATTTCAGGAGTATGAAATGGTAAAAAAAAAAAAAGATATAGAGGAGATATCATTAGGGCACTACTCAAGGGACAAATGAATAAGAATGTAATAGAAAAAAATAAGTACCCTGAATGTCCTCAAGGGCTTATTCTTATCCTTTAGGCAATAGGGACTTTAAGGTGACATAAAGCATGTTTATTGTTTTATCTATTGATTCTATTATCATATGCAAGTTTACTACAGCATTGTATAAGCTCATAGGTATATTTCTTCAATTCCAGAGTGTTTTTTTCACAATATATATGTTTGAGATATCTTTTGTCAGCTATATCATAATTCAAATGAATCCTATATTGTTTTTTAAGGGCAGTGATACTAAAAATAAAGTTTGCAGATGTCCCAAACACACACTTCACTACTTGTCTGCCTATGAGTGATAAAGAGTTCTCCTTCCCTTCCTTTTATTCAGTACACATGTATTCAGTATTTGCTATATAAAGTGCCACACACAATGCTAGACTCTTGAAGAAACCTTAAAAGTGATCCTGTGTTAAGTGTAATGTGCATCCTCTATTCCTATGGAGATTGAATAAAATGTATTCTCAATAGATGTATCTTTCCCCGGCATACTTTTAAATAATGATAAAAACTTTGGTGCTTTCCTTTATATAACTTTCCCTTTAAACTGTTTGGTTTTTTTTCTTTTAAGTTGGTAAAAGTTGTTTTTAAAAAATCTGAGAGTCAGGTGAATAAGAAGTGAACAGAATGAAGAGGAAGGAAAACAAACCAGCCAAGTACTCTCTAATTAAAGTCTGTTGTGTGAAGCATCTTCTAAAAACACAAGAAGGCTGTCTTCCCAATAAAATTCTCAAGAAATCCTTGCCCTGAAGGTTTTAAAGCATCAGGGTAGTTATTTCAAGAGTGGATTCCTTCAATCCCTATAGTTTAAAAAATCACCACCTTCATTTGCTGTTATTTTTTTCTGTTTTCATCTTCTGTTTTTTCTTATTGGTGAACTCTGTTCAGTACCCTTGAGATAAGTCAAGTAATTTCTGTAGAGTGGTCTAAGCCTAGTGAGAGGAAAATGGAAATGTACAAGGTATTGCTGTGCACAGGACTGAGGAGCACCAGATTTGGGCTCCCTTCCCTACTGCCCGTTTTGACACTGGGAAGCCATGTAAGCCTTCTGGGGCTCAGTCACCTTTTCTGTTACATACGATGTGTTTGTGGAATCCTGAGTGTTCTGGGCTCTGCCATGCAGAGGAGGATGAGAAGAAACAGCAAGGTGTGAAGGTCTGGTCCAGGAAACAAAGGAAGAGTTTAAAACCTCTTACTTTGAGATGGTGTAGACCTTTGATTCTTGCATATCTTTGTTTCCTTTTGCTCTGTTTCTTTTGGATGGCTTTCTCCCTGGGTGTGGTATCACAGCCTGGATTACCTCCTGCACATAAAGTGCAGAGTAGTGGGTGGCTTTCTGTGGGGAACAATTCTCACCCTTGAAGCTCATTTACTTCATCATCTTTTGCTGCCTCTTCTGGCCAGGGGTTAGGATTTCAAAGTTCAAGACTACAGTGTGGGCTCTATAATTTATTTTATGAAGAAGGCTCTTCCTTTTTTTTTTTTTTTTTTTTTGAGATAATCTTGCTTTGTCACCCAGGCTGGAGTGCAGTGGCACAATCTTGGCTCACTGTAACCTCTGCCTCTTGGGCTCAAGCGATTCTCCTGCCTCAGCCTCCTGAGTAGCTGGGATTACAGGCACCTATCACTCCACCCAGCTAATTTCTGTGTTTTTACTAGAGACGGGGTTTCACCATGTGGGCCAGGCTGGTCTCAAACTCCTGACCTCAAGTGATCCACCTGCCTCGGCCTCCCAAAGGGCTGGGATTACAGGTGTGAGCCACTGAGCCTGGGCAGCTCTTCCTGTATTCATTCTCATATTCACTCATTTATTGAGCCACTACTGGGTGGGATAGATCCACAGACAGATATAACAAGATTGTTGCCTCAAGATGACAATGTAGGAGGAAAGGCCAACATGATACATACTTCAGAGGATTTTAAAAAATATAATGTCATGACCATCAAAACTTGTTATCACTCCAACTACGATCTAGGAACTAAACATCTGGTGTTTTCCAGGCAAAGTATAAAGTTATATTTCAGATCTTTTGTTGATTTTTAGACGCTCCCCAAGTCTGGCACTACTTCAGGTGCTGAGCACTAGGATTTGCTATACACACAGTATTAGCTGCTGCAATCTTGCAATCAATTAAAATGCTGAATTTATTCCAAGGAGTATTTGGTTAGTTACCTCAGAGCCAACACAAGATTTTTCTTCCTTGTGCTTCTTCCTTTTTGAACTTACCTGACTCTATCTCTTGTGGGTCCCTGGATCCCTGATCAGATCTTTTCCAATCCAAAAAAAGTGGCTGTTATCATAAACCTTATATTGATGGGGCCTGTTTCCCTTCCTACCCTCCACACGTCTAGTATATCTCCTGGTCTTCACGATGTATGCCTCACATTTACTGCAAACACAGCAAGACTGTCACAGCTCTTAGCATATTTGATTTTTTTTTTTTTTTTTTTTTTACAGAGAATCACTTTGCTTTATCAAGTGTTGAGTCAAAGTGTTAAGTAAAAGTTGACATGCCTGCAACTTATTTTTAAATAGCAAATCATAATCATCCCACACTGTCTAAAGCACTAAACTTAACATATAAATCATATACCCTTACTAGAAAGAGCTAGCTAGAAAAATGTAAATAATAAAATTAAAATTGCTAAACTCCCTCATTATGTATTTATAATTAGCAGCCAAATTATTAACTCTGTTTTCAGAATTTCTGAAATAGGTTGTTGATATTAAGGAAGCCATTCAACAAAAACCTCAACAAGTATAGTCTTAAAATCAAATCAGCGAAATAATCTTTTAAATGTTTAGCTATTCATTAGCATTTGCATTAAATTTCAGCAGCAGTGGTTGCTTTTAGCTTTTTGGGATGTTATTTTTCTGCACAAACATACTGCAAAGAACACACTTGAAAAAAATAAAAGTTATTCATTTTCATGCTTTACACATGACTTTGCAATTGCACTAATCAGATTTTATTTCCATAACTATGGGTCTAAAGTAATTATTTTATTTCTCAAATAGTAGTCATGGATCCTAGCAAGTACTTCTTCATTTATATGGTTGCTCTCCTGTCCATATTCTTTGCTCATATTTACTGTGTCATTTGCCTTCAGGTACCACAGTTACCTGGACATATGCCCATTTGCCTAGTTTGACACAGCTACTTAAGGGTAAGCATCCCGATCTGTGGAAAAGTATAAAAACAAAATCAGGGATCTCAGAATCACCTTTGTTCACAGTGATTACCATTATGTTGATAAGTGAAAAACAAGGAAGGAAATTCTCTGAAAGAAAATGTCATGTATTCAGGGATGGGCCTTACAATGGGAATACAGGTGCCACAGTAATGCATGTGCAAATCAAGTGGAAGAGTACCTTGCTCTGTGTCCCTCTGATTCAACTTCACCCCTATGTATCTCCAGATGAAGGGATGAAATTGAAAATTCATCCTCGAGCTTCAAGCACAGTCCCTTTTCTGATATGGCTAACAGTAGTTTGGATAACACAATATTGACTGTGGGTTGCGAAATTAATGCAACACATTAGCAGTTCTGAATCAGACGAGCGGTCAAAATGGAGGAACTGAGGCAAATTTATGTGCTGGAAGACTGAAGGACTACAAACAAGAAACAAAGAACTGTGGCAAGGTGGCAAGTATTGAAAAATTTGGGCAATGTTAATTAATGATGAGGAAGTAAAAAAGTGTTGCCTGCCAAAGAAGGGGATTTGAAAGTCTTGATTCATTCTTGGAAATGCGGGACTACAAAAAAAAAATGTGAAGGAGTTTTAAATGAAGCTGATGTGATGATACTGAGGCTGCCACACTGTCTGGACTGGTTAGTGTCTATGTTAGCATGCAAATAGGGTGCTTTTCCTTACCTCCAGATGCTCTAAAATATAGGGCGGATTTGTCATGCCAAGCCTCAGCATTGCTCCCTCAGGAATCACTTCAACCAGTTTCCACAGGAGTGTGGGGAGATTGGTGCCAATATCTCTGCCATAAGCCCCCGTGTCTTCACTGGTCAACCATATCTCACAAACACCCTCTGTGAATCAAAAGAGATAATTAACAAATCTGTGGCAGAGCTGTTTCCTTCATCATACAGCTGCTCACTGTTTTTAATGCAGTATTTCTCAACACTATTATTCAGGCAGTCTGGGTATTCAATTGCAGAGAAAAAGCAGCTTATCCCATGGTGCCAGTGGGTTATTAAGTTCATTTTACGAACACCAGAGAGTTACAACAATGCTGTAAATTATCAGTGTGTCCTATGAAGTGATTAACATTCACAGCCAATCAGTTCAACTGTGCTTCCCCCAAAGCACTTTGATCAAGACTAAAGCCTCAGTCCCACCTCAGAGAATACCTATTTTATTGAACACTCTAAGCCCTGGAACTGAAACAGTCACTCCACAGAATAGGCACCATCAGCAGTTAACTCATTAATCAGTATGGCACCAACCTAAGGAAAAATGTCAAGTGTAGTTAAGGTTTAGCTCACATATTATTAATTATAAGGTATCCATTTTTCTCATAGCAACTATTCTAGTCTGTCTTCATTATTCAATTAAAAATAGTATTCATTTTGTTGCTGCATTCAAAAAAGTTGGTTGCTGCCTAAACTGAGTGTTTGTGTTGGAAAACCTGTTTACTGACAGTTTGCTTTCTATTTTCCACAAATCAGACTTTAGGAAAATGTATATATATTCTTGTCGTTATTATTGTTATAAAGAATCCTGACTTCAAATATCATACCCTGCAATGATAATGCTTCAAAAGTCCAGAGGAAATACTTTGGGATCCCCCTCATGTTATTTAAAATGAATAAAACAGAGTCAGCAAGAGCCATTCAGGCCTTTCATGGCACACAGAACTTTTCTCAATCCATATTCAATGAAATGATCAGCCTATTTTCAAAGGCCAAATGATTAACGAGGCTAAAACAAACAATGAAGGGAGCCTGTGAAATTTGCTCACGCTCAAGTGGTTTGTTGCTTCTGAAGAACCTCAACACACACACACAGGCACACAAACTGAAGACTTTAGCCTGAACCAAAGTATAAGTTTCTAGAAAGTGTCTTAAAATTATAATTTTAAATTACCTTTAGTTGACAGAACAGAAGAGTTTCAAAAATACATTTAAATATTCCTAGCCAAGAGAGACAACAAATAAAACACATGGCTTTTATGTGAACGTGGACTTAAAACTCACAGAATAAAAAAGCATAAAATAAAGATCTTCGCTCCTCTTAATATGTTCCATGAGGTAGAAAAAAACACAGCAAAAAGATTTCCAATCACTATTCTTTCCTTTAGCATAAGAAATATAATTACTTCAGCAAAAAACTAAACCATATGAAAACATTTTCACTTTTTCCTGCCTGTCTATCTTTCTGAGACATACACATCCTCACCCACACCCACACAACATGGAAAATACAAGGATAGAAATAAGATTTTAGTTTTCCCAAATTAAAGAATCAATAACTTAGCATTGAGAACAGAATACATAGAAAAAAGAGCACTTAAAAAGCTTTTTAAAAAATAAAAAGCTCAATACATTTTAAAAGCTGAAGATATTTTTAGCATCTGAAAATTAGTAGTATTATGGATATATGGGTTTTCATAGTTTAAATTAAATACCTACTTCCAGAAATAATAAACCTTTGCTTAATCTTAATCATTTAATAAAAAGCTTTATCCTCCAAAGAAATAGTCTGGCATGTCCATAGGCTATTTTTAGAGGTGTACAATTTTATAAATATTCTCTGTACACGGAATAAATCTTTTTCTATTTAAAAAGTGGACTGAAATTAGTGGTATCATCTTTAATATTATATCTGCCATTAGGCGCTGGACTCATACAATCTTTTTTTTAACAAAATCTTATCACAAAATCCACTCCAGGAAAAGAGATGGCTAAGTAACAACATAAACAGATTTTAAAACATTCTGAAAGAGGTTATAAAAACAGGACATTATCCATGATTTTCCAGTTACTGGCATTTGAGCAACACAATATGAATATTTTAAAATGAACAGAATAATTTTAATTTATAATTTTTCCATCCAAATGGTTCCATGTTATGCCTTATGTAGAGAGTGTGGGTTCCTGGAACAGTGCCTTGCTGTTGCTAGATGAATATAGAAGGGGAAAAATCGCTATGAATAGGAATGGAAATAACATCCATAGAGAAACAGCAGCCAGCTCTTCAAGCTGCATAGGTGGGGACCAATAGCCCCCTGGTGGGCTGAAACCTCAAATTAAATCACATAAAGAGGAAGCAGCTGTAACACTAAATCAGCAACAATAGGAACAATGGTCTTGATGTTTCCAAGATCAAGGCTGCTAAAATACTCTATATAATAGCAACCTGGTTTAAAACACAATGGAACGAAAGAGCATGAGCAAAATGAAACCCTTGGACTTGAGGAGAATTTTGCTTTGCCAATTCAATTCAAAAATCTGTCAAAGATGATCTTGTTCTTAGTCAACGTGAGAAAGTTCAGCTTTTGTAAGGGTGTATTTCAAGCATGAAGAATCCTAATGAGAATGGATCCTTCAAATAGGATATGGAAGTCATTACATACTAAAAGTGACGCTAAATGTGGAATCCCCATGCCTGACATCCTTTTCCCTGGAAAGTCTCCTGATTAGTCATAGCACAGGCAGTTCCTGCCAGGCCACGCTTGCATATGAAGTCACCAGAGCACCTGAGGGCTTCAGTAGTCACTCATGGACACACATTGGGACACATGCTTATATCTGCACACTTAATTGGCTAGACTTACGGACAGAAGTGCTTGCCTAAAAAGCTTCATTTCTTAAGGACTTCAGTTATGAGCTTTATTTCTTTGCACGTTCAGTTCTCAATTCATCCAAACCTTTATTTGGCCCTTACCGTGTGCCCTTCAGCTCTTCCAGCTCACGATAGATATGGATTCACCATTAAACTGGCTATTAGCTAAGAGCTGGCAAGGGGACACTGACTAACGTCCTGGACCCTTTGCATCCATCCCTATTGGTGGTGGGGATACAATGGGACAGTCTTCATGAACACAGCCTTAGACCAAAATGAAGGGCCTGCTGGGCTAGCTTAAAATGGACACAATGTCAGGTTCAGTAAGATAGTCCCAGTCTGCACTATAACTTGGAATTTGGTAAGTATATGTCAGGAAAATAAACACATGAAAATGAAAAAGAGGGGGCGGGCGCAGTGGCTCATGCTTGTAATCCCAGCACTTTGGGAGGCCGAGGCAGGCAGATCACGAGGTCAGGAGATCGAGACCATCCTGGCTAACACGGTGAAACCCTGTCTCTACTAAAAATACAAAAAATTAGCCGGGCATGGTGGCGGGCGCCTGTAGTCCCAGCTACTCGGGAGGCTGAGGCAGAAGAATGGTGTGAACCTGGGAGGCGGAGCTTACAGTGAGCCGAGATCGTGCCACTGCACTCCAGCCTGGGCGACAGAGCAAGACTCCGTCTCAAAAAAAAAAAAAAAAAAAGAAAATGAAAAAGAGATAAAAGCAGGAAGAACTAAGATAAGAGAAGTGAATGCCCATTAAAAACTTCCATGCCTGTAAAAATAAATACATGCAAAAAAAGAAAGTGGTGGGGTAGGAAAGTAGGAGACAGAAATTAGGGTTTTTTCACGCATCCAAGGGAAGATTTTACTTTTTTCTAAAATTGTTCATCTACCTGACTTGTTTTCGTTTTCCCAAAAATTGTTCAGTCTACCCAACTTTTTAAATGAACATTATGTTCATCAGATCGTCCACCATCCTTTTGATGCATTAATTTTGGTAAAAGGAAAAGCAAATACTAGGAAGAATGAAATGCACTGTACAGGAAAAAAGCCTTAAGTTTAGCTATGAGATTCCATTATCATCTTACCCAAGCAATTACAGACCAGCCTGTAGATGAAACACAAGCCATTTTTCCCTGAATAAACAGCAACCCCAACAGCTAGATTCCCATCTCTGCGCCATAGCAATCTGAGATGACAGGAGACGGAAGTAGAAGACCTAAAAGTTTGATAATAAAAGAAGGATAATATCCTCAATAAAATAGTCTCACCACAAAGAAAATCCTCTTTGAAAAATCAAACTTTGCCAAAATTCAATTTCAAAAGATTATGGCTCACTATAACTATGTATGAGCTTCACTGTAATGAATTAAAATATGGGTGAAGACTGATTTTATCTAGTCAAGAAGTAGCATTTCTCTAGTAGTTCCTGCTTTATCTTTGAGGAAAATTTTCAAGATAAGTTGTTTCAATTATTCATGAGTAGTCTCTAAAAATAACCACAAACATACAAAAACTGTAAATAATGATTATGGGGATCTATAGTTAAAGAGCACTGGATGGCAGGGAAACCTACATCAAGTACACATCATTTAAAAATCCTTGGAAAATCTGCTAACTCTACCTCCCACTACCCGGTGTGTGCTCTCCACTCTCCATCTTTTCTTTTCTTTTCTTTTTTTTTTTTTCTGAGACTGTTTCACTCTGTCACCCAGGCTGGAGTGCAATGGCACGATCTCGGCTCACTGTAACCTCCGCCTCCGAGGTTCAAGTGATTCTCCTACCTCAGCCTCCTGAGTAGCTGGGATTACAGGCGCACACCACCATGCCATACCCAGCTAAGTTTTGTATTTTTAGTAAAGACGGGCTTTCGCCACGTGGCCAGGCTAGTCTCCAACTGCTGACCTCAGGTGATCCGCCCACCTCAGCCTCCCGAAGTGCTGGGATTACCGGCATGAGCCACCGCGTCTGGCCCCTTCCCCATCTTTTGTTCTCCATTCCTATCCTTTGTTTTTTCCTCTCAATTTTATCCTTGAGTCTTTCTCCACCATCCAGTTCCAGCCTGTATTCTCCCACTAAGGAAAATACATTAAACATATATGTTATATTTATTTAATATGCATTAAATTAATCAGCTTTTACTTCCTGCTGTTTCTTTTAAGGGTCACAGTGCATATTAAATTTTTAGGGGTTCTTTCTTCTTAAAAAAATAATCTTAGAGAATTCAGAAATTACGCTGGGTGCAGTGGCTCACGCCTGTAATCTCAGCACTTTGGGAGGCCAAGGCGGGCGGATCACCTGAGGTCGGGAGTTCCAGACCAGCCTGACCAACATGGAGAAACCCCATCTCTACTAAAAATACAAAATTAGCCGGGCGTGGTGGCACATGGTTATAATCCCAGCTACTCAGGAGGCTGAGGCAGGAGAATCACTTGAACCCAGGAGGCAGAGGTTGAATTACCTGTAGTTCCCAGGGGAAGTCACTATAGCTCCGGCCACTATGCTTTACGCCCATGCTGTTTCCTCTGCCTAAAATGACCTCTACTCTTCTTTGCATAAAAAATACCTCTTTGAGGCCGGGCGCTCGTGCCTGCCATCCTAGCACTTTGGGAGGCTGAGACAAGTGGATCACTTGAGGTCAGGAGTTCAAGACCAGCCTGGCCAACACGGTGAAACCTCGTCTCTACTAAAAATACAAAAATTAGCCAGGCACAGTGGTGCATGCCTGTAGTCCCAGCTACCTGGGAGGCTGAGACAGGTGGATTGCTTGAACCTGGGAGGTGGGGGATGCAGTAAACTGAGATGGCACCACTCCACTCCAGCCTGGGAGACTGCATGAGACTCCATCTCAAGAAATACTTCTTCAGAAAACTTTCGCGACCACTGAGAATAATTTACATGCTCTTCTCCTGTGCCTCCAACCCTCTTGTACATAATTCTGTTAATACAGTGTGTTATAATTATTGGTTTGTCTTCCCTGAGAGAAAAGAAGCATTTCCCAGGCAGATCTGCAAAAATCTAAAACACATACGCCTAGGACCTATCATGATGCCTAGCAAACAGCAGGGCCTCAATGAATTTTGGTTCCATCAATCATCATATTTGATGGGATCGCTTTCAGTAAAAAAAAGAGATGCACAGATTAAGTATATTTCAGCTAACATTTGAAAAGCACCTCCTACACAGACACATAAATATACACACATACATATAAACACACATATACAAACACACGCACACATACAGAGATTGTGCACAAAAGTGGAGGAGGTTATGTATTAGGCAATGAGGAAATACCAAAATGAATATTCTTTGGACAATATGGAAATGCAGCTTGAATGTTGCAAAGTTTCTTGCATAGTCTCTTAACTTCTACACAAGATTAGCAGTCTCACTTAGGGTTCCTTATTACCCTACAACAACAGCTGGCCAGCAAAGCAACTGAATGCAACCAGCTTTTCACTTACAGGTATGATTTTCTTTTTAGTTACAAAGAAGTTCAGACAGATCAATACTCAGAAAACAAACTTTAACACTATTTTTTATTGCCTTAATAATGAGAGTTAACAAAGAGATGGTATTTCCAGACCTTACTGCTATCTGTAATTATACTGGTTATAGAAAAAATGTGTTGGCATAAATTGATAATGCTGTTGCTAAACAAAAACAACTTATTTCTTTCAAAAGGTCATAATCAGAAAGAATACTGTTTATTTCCATACTTCTGCAGGAATTTGGAAATAATGGAAAGTTCAAAACAAACTAAATACCATAAAAGGATGATACACTTTCTGAAAACAAGGCTTCAGACTCCCCAGTCTCCAAAATCTGTAATAAGCCTCAATGAAGCAGATTAAGTTTATCCTCTTAATACCACAGTATGTTATGCTCCATATATGGGCATTTTTAATACCCCTAGAGAAAATACAGACAGCAGTGTCTATGAACAGGTCCTCTTGTGTTTCAGCAGGATGTCGAGAGAGGTGTAATTCTATCTTTAAAAATCACAACAGGCTCAACGCTAGCAGTCCAAACATTATGGATACACAAAGGAGGAGGAAGAGGAAAGAAGAAAATCATTAGATGCCTGCAATGCAGTACACTGTTCTCAGAAAATATTAATAATCAGTTGATAATGGTGATAAAAACTTATCGAGATTTCAAGACTAACAAAGAGCTACAGAATAGTTTAGAAGGTAAAGAAAAGTAAAAAAGCAAAGGATTTTTCATTATTTCAGCCACTGAGCTCAATTATGGAATGAAGAACAAATAAAAGTTCAGATTTTTAAAGGACAGAATTTTTATGACTAATGTTTTGGTCCTAAAGGTCTTTCCCTTTGGGCCAGGCATAGTAGCTCATTCCTGTAATCCCAGCTCTTTGGGAGGCCAAGGCACAAAGGATTCCCTTAGTTAAGGAGTTCAAGACCAGCCTGGGCAACAGAGCAAGACCCTATCTCTACAAAAACTAAAAAAATTAGTTGGGCATGGTAGTGTGCACCTGTAGTTCTAGCTATTTGGGAGGCTCAGGCAGGAGGATCACTAGACCCCAGGAGTTGAGGTTACAGTGAGCTATGATTGCACCACTGCACTAGAGCCAGGGCAACAGAGTAAGACCTTGTTTCTTTAAAAAAAAAAAAAAAAAAAAAAGTGACCTTCACTCAAGGTACAGTCAAACAGAACTGAAATTCTATAATTAAAATTAGAAAATTTTGTCTTTAAAACTTATACAAGCACAGATGATGCCCGACTTACAATGGCTCAACTTAGGATTTTTCAACTTTATGACGGTGTGAAAGCGATACGCATTCAGTAGAAACCATACTTCCAGTAAACATACACCATTCTGTTTTTCATTTTCAATACAGTATTCAACACATTGCATGAGATATTCAACACTATATTATAAAATAGGCTTTGTATTAGATGATTTTGCCCAACTGTAGGCTAATAAAAGTGTTCTGAGCATGTTTAAGGTAGGCTACGCTAAGCTATGATGATCAGTAGGTTGGGTGTATGAAATGCTTTTTTCTTTTTCTTTTCTTTCTTTTTTTGTTTTGTTTTGTTTTTAAGACAGGGTCTTACTCTGTCACCAAGGCTGCAATGCAGTGGTGTGATCATGGGTCACTGCAGCCTTGACCTCCTGGACTCAAGTGATCCTGCCACCTCAGCCT
This sequence comes from Homo sapiens, assembly GCF_000001405.40. NCBI lineage: Eukaryota > Metazoa > Chordata > Mammalia > Primates > Hominidae > Homo > Homo sapiens. Next base: position 20,947,486 of record NC_000006.12, on the reverse strand, counting down.
CCCAGGTAGCTGGAACTACAGGTACATGGCACCACACCTGGCAAATTTTTGTATTTTTTGTAGAGACAGGGTTTCACCATGTTGCCCAGGCTGGTCTCAAATTCCTGGACTCAAAAAATCTGTCCTCCTTGGCCTCCCAAAATGCTGAGATTACAGGTGTGAGCCAATGAGCCTGGCCTTTAAATGCATTTTCAACTTATATTTTCAACTTACAATGGGTTTACTGGGATGTGACCCCATCATAAGTCGAGGAGCATCTGTACTTAAACAGCAAAGAGAGTTTTCTATTTTCTATTATATTATTATATGTTCAGTTTGAAGGTATATCAGGTATATAGTTTAGGTGTCCTCATACAAATAAAACATCATTCATTCATTCATTCATTCATTCATTGACTCCTTCTAGCAAGTAATTGTTGAACACCTATTATGTACCAGATACTGTTCTAAACCTTAGAGATAAGGTCTCTGCCCACGTGAAATCTATTCAAGTGAAACAGACAATAAACTAAGAGATAAAGAACATATTGTCAAGTAAAAATAAGTGCTAATAAAAATTTTAAAAGCAAGATAAAAGGTATGGATGATGAGGTCAGTTGCAGTGGCTCATGCCTGTAACCCCAGCACTCTGGGAGGCTGAGGTGGGCGGATCACCTGAGGTCAGGAGTTGGAGACCAGCCTGACCAACATGGAGAAACCCCCGTCTCTACTAAAAATAGAAAATTAGCTGGGCGTGGTGGCGCATGCCTGTAATCCCAGCTACTCGGGAGGCTGAGCAGGAGAATCACTTGAACCCGGGAGGTGGAGGTTGTAGTGAGCCGAGATTGCCTCATTGAACTCCAGCCTGGGCAACAAGAGTGAAACTCTGTCTCAAAAAAAAAAAAAAAAAAAAAGGTATGGATTGTGGTACTGGATTACATCCCAGTAAATCCATTGTAAGTTGAAAATGCATTTAAAGGCCAGCCGTATTGGCTCACCCCTGTAATCCCAACATTTTGGGAGGCCAAGGAGGGCAGATGTTTTGAGTCCAGAATGATGAAGTGATTGGGAAAAGACACTTATTTTTGATAGGGAATAGTTGAGGAAGACTCACAATGACACAAAACCTGAATGAATCAAGGTACTAAGCCATGCAGATTTGCTATCTAAAGGAAGAGCCCTTGAAGCAGAGGGAATATAAGTGCAAAGACACAGTATGAGTATGCCTGCAGTTCCCAAGGAACCACAAAGAGGTCAGTGTGGTTAGAATGAAGTGAGTGAGAGTTTCGTGGTGAGAAAGAATTGTACAATGGGAGCCAGTGTTAATGGAAGTTGTTATAAGGGGCTCAAGCTCACAGGGCAGGGCTGAGAGAGCAAAGATGACATGTTGATAAACAATGCACTGTCATAGCCAATAATTATGCAATATGTATATTATACTTGCCAGTGAAAGCTCTCAATAACTTCACTTTAAGATATTTTCATACTTATGCTCATGAAAACTGAATGCAGTTTCAAAATTCTCAAATCACTAGATACGTTGTATAAGAAGGGGCAGGAAAAAAATGACAGATAATGTAACTGTCCAGTCTTTCAGAACAAAATTAATTTCATTCATTCTTTATTTGGAGGGGAAATTTATTACTATAATTGACCAAAATATACAAAACAACACTCACAAATGTAAATAGAAATAAATAAAAGGAACCCAGACCAGTAACAATGTATGGTTTTTAGTTGGTATCACCTAGAGGGAAAGAAAGTGGTGCTTGTCTTTTATTTCTTTTCTTTTCTTATTTCTTTCCATCCAACGGAGTCTAAATACTACTACTGTGCCCCAGATTCTCACTTAGCATTATTTAAGTTGAAATCCAGCAAACAAACCAATACTTGCCACAAACTCAGAGTCTTAACGTTTGAACCACTGCTTTGGCTTCAGAAGATAGGACAAATGAGAATATGTGATATAGGGCCTCTATGAGGTAGGAAAATGAATAGAAAAATAGGCTCACCCTCAAGAACCTACTACCCAAAAACCTGGAAACTATAATTATAAATATGATAATTTGGATCACTTTATTCTTTTGAACTACAGGTAAATATTCCTTTATCCAAAATGCTTGGGACAGAGGGATTTTAGATTTCAGATTTTTTTCAAATTATGGAAAATTTGCATCATATGTAGCAGCTAAACATCCCTAATCTAAAAATACAAAATCCAAAGTTCTCCAATGAGCATTTCCTTTGAGTGTCATGTTGGCACTCAAAAAAGTTTCAGATTTTAGAGCATTTTGGATTTTGGATTTTTGGATTAGGGATACTCAAAAGGGGTTAGTTAAAATAGCCTTATGTGCCTTTTACAGGTTGGATGTAGGAGATGAGAAGATAGTTACATTCTTAAGTAAAAAGGTTGTGTGTGTGTGTGTGTGTGTGTGTACGTGTGTGTGCACATATGCACTGTTTCTAGATAATGAAAGAATAAAGTGCAATTCTAGGACAAAGAAATACTGTTTAAAAGTTTTAAGAAGCAGCTAGTGATTCAGCCCTGAGGAAAGGAAGAATAGTCAGAATAGGAAGGTCTGACAGATATACCAGTTAGCAAGAATTTAATAACCAGCTACATCTTCAATTTAAAATTTCTAAGAACAAAACACTACAAACATTTGCAGGTAATGTCAACAAAAGGTAATTTTAATACCATTATAATAACATATATATCAATAACCAGTTCTATAACTTGACCAAAATTATGCCAATCAAAATGATAACTACCAACATGTCTGCTTCTATAGAGGAATATGTAATATCCAGTACAAACTGTTGACTCTGACCGTACTGATGATAACAAACAATTAAAAGGACAGGCCAGGCACAGTGGCCCATGCCTATAATCCCGGCACTTTGGGAGGCTGTGGCGGGTGGATCACTTGAGGTCAGGAGTTCAAGACCAGCCTGGCCAACATGGAAACCCTGTCTCTACTAAAAATACAAAAATTAACACAGCATGGTGGTGCACCCCTGTAATCCCAGCTACTTGGGAGTCTGAGGCAGGAGAATCACTTGAACTGGGAGGTGGAGGTTGCAGTGAGCTGAGATCACGCCACTGCCCTCCAGCTGGGCGACAGAGTGAGACTCCGTCTCAAAAAGGACATACTGTGAGGACTTCCACTTCTACACATGAAGGATTAACTGTTATAGAAATTACCCTACTACTGTAAACAACTAGAAAAATTGACACAATATATGAGACAACAATAATTGGACAAGAAACAACACAGTGAAGGAATGTGATTCTTGAGAGAAACAAAGGAGATGAGCAACATGAGTTCCCATATTACTATCTGGAGGCATTTTCCAGGTCACAGTACAGACAGGTAGGAAAACAAACAGAGCCCAGTGACCTTTCTGAGTTGAAGAGACAGAGGTTGGAGTTTGGAAGGTTATAATTGATAGGATTAAATATCATAGAGGAGAGGGCTGTCTATGGAGACGGAGCTCCAAAAATCAGAAGAGGGCTCCCCTCAAGTCTCTGGCTGAGTACTGATGTGGGCTAAACTATTGACTATGGTTATTTATTTATATATTTGGAGACAGAACCTCACTATTTTGCCCAGGCTGGGTTCGTACTTTTAATCCTCCTGCCTTAAGCCTTCTGAGTACTGGGACAACAGGCATGCACCACTGAGTCTGGCTCAGTGTGGTTATGACCAGGAGGGAAAAAAAAAAATATCAATCAATAGGAACACAGTCAGAAATGACAAACATGATGGAATTAGCAGGCGAGGACATAAAACCAGCTATTGTACATGTGGTCTATGCGTTTAAAAAAATATGAACATGATAAAAAAAAAACAAAAGAAGATATTTGAAAAGAACCTAGTGGAACTTCTAGAGATGAACTTGAAGACCTAGTAGTAACAGAAGCTACCCAAAATGAAACGAAGAGAAATAAAACATTCATAATAAAAATGAACAGAACAGAACCACACCAAGCACACTAACACATGAGTAGAGTCCCTAAAATATGGCTAAATTTACCCCAAATTTGGCAAAAACTATAAATCACAGATTCAATAAATTCAATAAACCTTCATCAGAATAAACAAAAGAAGCCACATCAAAGTACACAAACAAATTACTTTTTTTTTCTTTTTTTCTTTTTCTTTTTTTTTTTTTTTTGAAAAAACAAGGTAATGAGGAGAAAATCTTAAAAGCAACTGGGGGCTGGAAGCAATATTGTATACAAGAACAAAGAAAAGAGTGACAGACGACTTCTTGTCAGAAATGATGCAAGCCAGAGTGTAATGGAGACATAACCTCAAAAGACTGAAACACTCTTAACCTAGATTTTTGTTGACTTTTCAGACAAAGCTGAGTGAACTCAATACCAGCACTACTCCAAAGACTAATAAAGAAAGATCTTTAAACAGGAGAGAAACAATACTAGATAAAAAGCAGAGTACCAGATGACACACAAAGAAAAGAATTGGACCAGAAATGGCAAACATGTGGGTATATATAAAATATAATTTTTAATCTTTTTTTTTTTTTTTTGAGACAGAATCTTGCTCTGTCACCAGGCTGGAGTGCAGTGGCGTGATCTCCACTCATTGCAACCTCTGACTTCCTGGTTCAAGCGATTCTCCTGCCTCAGCCTCCCAAGTAGCTGGGATTACAGGCACACGCCACCATGCCTGGCTAAATTTTGTATTTTTAGTAGAGATGGGGTTTCACCATGTTGGCCAGGATGGTCTCGATCTTCTGACCTTGTGATCTGCCTGCCTTGGCCTCCCAAAGTGCTGGCATTACAGGCATGAGCCACCATTAAAATATAATTGTTCAGCTGGGCGTGGTGGCTCACGCCTGTAATCCCAGCACTTTGGGAGGCCAAGGCAGGCAGATCACCTGAGGTTGGGAGCTCAAGACCAGCCTGACTAAGATGGAGAAACCCCATCTCTACTAAAAATACAAAATTAGCTGGGCATGATGGCACCCAACTGTAATCCCAGCTACTTGGAAGGCTGCGGCAGGAGAATCGCTTGAACCCAGGAGAGGAAGGTTGCAGTGAGCCGAGATCACGCCACTGCCCTCCAACCTGGGCAAAAATAGCGAAACTCCATCTCAAAAAAAAAAAAAAAAAAGTATATATATACATTTAAAGCAAAAATAATAACATATTTTGGGGTTTACACTTGATGCAAAAAACTGACAATAGCACAAAGGACAAGAAGAGGAAATGGAAATATAAAATTACAAGGTTCTTACACTATAAATGATGTAGTAAAATATTATTTGAACGTAGATTGTGATAAGCTAAGGGTATATATTTAAACCTGAGGGCAACCATCAATCAATCAAAGTGGTAATTTTGGTAAAGTCCATCTTTTTTCTATTTTATAAAACATCTAAAAGGAGCTAAATCAACAAATGAAGTCTACATGTGTTAAACATAAGCTGTCTTATAAGCTAATTAAGTACAATGATCATTATTAAATTCTGCTATGAGAGGCTAATCTAGAGAGCTAATATTCAGTATTTTAAAATAGTATGTTAGTTATCCTCTTGCCGAAGGGGAAAAGCAGAATGTCATTTTGAAATAACTACCTCATGGAAAAAAAGTGATAATTCCTTATCGCCAATAATTCAACTTTTCACAAAAAGGTAAAACATACTTAGTTGCTAGCACTGACGAAAACAATAAACCAACAACTTCAATGATCTCACCTTTTCTTTGCCCCAAAGTGCCAATTCAGGGCTCTCCAATTTGTACCCAGATATAATGTAAGATTTTAATAATTCTGTGCTTGAAAGTCAGTTAAGGATACTTCTCTCCCTCTTCATGGCTTATCACCATCGTTCACTAAAAATAGATCCTAGTAGATAAACCTTTTTTGGCACTATGGGTAACACAATGCATATGAGTGTAATCAATCAATGTATTTGAATAACAAACACAGACAATTTTTTAAAATAAGAATTATCCAGTTTGAAATGCCAAAACTCTTTATCCACTTCATTTTATAAATAGAGACTGTGACAGAAAGGTTAACAGACTTGCCCAAAGTGATACAATAAGCAGCAGCACAGCATGGATTAGAATTAATCTCTTAATTTCCAAGAAGGAACTCCAACATAATTGTTTTTAATGCCAATTTAGTGACTCAAGGAGAAGACCTATAAAATGCTGACTATAATTATGATATGAGTAGTACCAACCAAAAATCTCAAAAGCCAGCTTTAGTAGCATTAGAAATAAGAAATGATTGAAGAAAACCAAAACAATGTGTAAATAACATGAGATGCATTAAGAGTAATAAAACCTGTACTATCCAATAAACCACAAGCCATATGTGGCTGATGAGCACTTGAAATGCAGTTGGTTTGAACTAAGATGTGCTTTTTTTTTTTTTTCTTTTTGAGATGGAGTCTTGCTCCGTCTGTCGCCCAGGCTAGAGTGCAGTGGCGCATTCTTGGCTCACTGCAAGCTCCACCTCCCGGGTTCACAGCATTCTGCCTCAGCCTCCCGAGTAGCTGGGACTACAGGCGCCCACCACCACGCCTGGCTAATTTTTTGTATTTTTAGTAGAGACGCGGTTTCACTGTGTTAGCCAGGATGGTCTTGATCTCCTGACCTCGTGATCTGCCCGCCTTGGCCTCTCAAAGTGCTGGGATTACAGGCGTGAGCCACAGTGCCTGGCCCTAAAATGTGCTTTAAGTGCCAAGGTACACATCTGATTTCAACTACTTAGTATGAAAAAAGAATGTAAACTATCTTATTAAGATTTTAAAATAATTTTTACAACTGAGCTGGGCACAGTGGTACATGCCTGTAGTCCTAGCTACTTGCATGGTTGAGGCAGGAGTTCAAGGCTGTTGTAAGCTATGATTGAGCCATTTTGCACTCCAGCCTGGGCAAAAGAGAGAGGCTCCATCTCCCGCTCCCCGCCAAAAGAAATTGATTACAAATTGAAATTAGCATTTTGGATATAACGAGTTAAAGTATCTGATTAAAATATACTTAACCTGTATCTTTTTGCTTTTTTAATGCGGCTACTAGAACATTTTAAATTATACATATGGCTCATATATTTCTACTGGGCAGCACTGTTATAAGGTATAGAACTGCCTACAATGAAGAACTAAAAGAATTAACATGAATTTTAATTCACATAATAGAAATATATTAATAAATTATACTTTCTCCTAATTAATCAACAGAAACTGAAAATTCTTCACAGTGAAGTGATATGATTGATAGATATAAGATTTTGTGCTTCATTTATGTATATTTCTTGATTGTATTGACATATTTTATTAAAATTCAAAACATTATATTACATAGTTAATAAATTAAAAAGTGGCATTCACAAATGCAACTGTACAACAATCATTTTGTGTATTATCTTTAAGTTATCTTGGACATACACATTTTATACACTTCACAGTGTTTACAAAATAGAGACTATTGTATTTAAAACTATACTTCAAAGTTTTGAGTCCTTAATTCTCACTATTAAAATAAATATTTAGTAGTTCTTACTGCAAATAGCATTTCTATCTACAAATTGCTTCTAACTGTAAACCATTATTTATAAGTTATAAATGAAGAAACACAGAAAATAGGTAAGATATGTAATTTGCCATACATGGGTGGAATAGAAATATTTTTAAAAGCTCCTCATTTCCAGGTGTGATCTATACAACTTTTCTTGTTTAGGAAAAAATGAATTATCATTACCAAAGCACTCCTGTTAACTTGATAAAAACACCATCTCTCAATCCCCCCTCCATAAAACCTTTACAGAGAAACTCTCCACCTTTGTCTCCTCTGCAGCCAATATATTACTGTGGCATTTACTTACAAGGATTTAAAAAGAAAATAGAGTACTTATAGTAATTGCACTGGCCCAAGCTTAGCCAAATACAGCAAAATTACTTTGTTATCTTTCATAAGTGCCCTGGTTAAGTTTTAAAAATGCTTTATTACCTCTATTAAGTCTGCCAAATCTCTTCTAGGAAAAACCATTTTGATATTTCAAACTTGAGTTCACTTAAATATTCTACAAAACTCTTGTGAAATACATTTTCATTCTGTATTCTCTAACTCCCCAGTTCTTTTTTGTTATTTCCTGTGGCTTCAGCTGGTTAAGGATTAAGCTGAGGTCCTAGAAAGGTTCTCTTTCATTCATTATTTATTTTAAAGATCTCCAACAGTGACCAATGGAGAGAAATTAGTAAATGCAGCAGGAGGAAGGAACAGACAGAAAAAAGTGGAGAGAAGTACCTCTAACATACTATATAATTTACTTCTAATTATGTTTACTGTGTATTGCCTCTCCACCCCACCCCCAAATAGAACGAAAGCTACAATAAGACTGCAATTCTCTGTTTTGTTCACTGAACTAACTCTTGTAATAGGACAGTGACTGAGAACATATTAAGCATCTAGTGAATATTTATTTATTGACTGAATGAAGAAATTAATAAGAAGACAGGAAGAAAGGGAAGCATGAAGGGTTGGGGAAGGAGGAAAAGGAGGAGGGGACATTGAGATGACAACATGAAAGGAAGAAGGAGCCTACAGGTGCAGTTCTCAGATTTGCTTACAAAGAAAAGAACATAAGAAAGTATTCAAGTTTTCACAGTATTTCAAACAGAAAACAAAGCATAAATGCTCATTCCCATTGGAGTAGAAAGTACACAATCAGAAAATACCTATATATATTCAACAGAAAAAAAAAGGTTGTAAAAATAATAAATTGAGCTTCTGTTAATGTTTCCTACTTACGCACTAATTTATCATCTTTTATATATCCACACAAATGGAGAATAGCCACAAAAATGGGAAGAAAAGGTTTCCTGAGAAATACAGAAAATTGAGATGATTCTATCAATTAACTTAATCCATTTTCCCTTTAAAACGAGAAAAAAATATTATTTCATTTTAATAGGAAAAAAAGGAGAATTTTACTAGAGAATCATTTGAAGACCATCAGTCTACATAGAAGTGCACTGGCTATCTATCAGTTCCAAGAGAACTCCACAAACTCGAAATTTAAAAGATCAAGTTAGAAGATGATACCCCGGAAGCAATGAACACAACTAGCGATCATATCTTATTTTCAAAACTCTGTTCTCCCAACATAAAGTATAAGAATTGCTTAGAGAAATGGGTGATTCCAGGATTTGAGTTACAGAAAGTACAAAGTAAGCCTAAAACACTTTCTGGTGCCAGACAGTAAGAAAGTACTAAAAAAAATTATGAGGGCAAATCAAGAGAACAAAGGAGTCAAACTGAAGAAGCTCTCAATGGCCAATCTGGGACAATCTGATCAACAGAATAAATAATGACAGTAGTAGAATTTAAAGTATAGAACAAAATAAATATCCATGAGTCCAAAACAGAAAAGGTATTTCAAAAAATAAATGGAGGAAAAAGCAGAGGTCTTCCATATAATATAATTTTAATTACTGAATGTAAAAGGTAAGATAGGAAAATCAACATCTGGCAAACACCACAAGTAATAATTGTCAGAGGCAAGGATCATCCATGGATGCTAAACTTAGTGGGCAGAAGGAAGATATTTACAGTTTTTAAGCATTTCCCCCATAAGACACTTATTAATTAAAATGAAAAAAAAAAAAAACCACCTCACAGTGGAGAAATTTTGCATCACCTTAACTATGTAATAAAAATCAAACCCACCAGTAATGAGAATCTTAACATCATGTACCTTGATGCTCTGAAAAGTGCGTATCAATCACTTCAGTGGTACTCTTGCCAAAAATGCATAACCTGAATTTAATCACATGGAAATACCAGACAAACTTAAAGTGAGAGAGGTGCTATAAAATAATTGACCAGCACATTTCAAAAATATTACGGTTATAAAAGACAAAGACAGGAGACCTGGCCCAGATTGGAAGTGAAGAGACTGAGGAGACTTGGTAACCACATGTAATGTGGGATCCTAGATGGACCTGGGACCAGAAAAAGAAAGTTAGTGAAACAATGGGTGAAATTTGGATAGGGTCTGCAGATTACATAATAGTATTTTACCAACGTTAAGTTTCTGGTATTGATAGTTATATAATGTCATGTTAAAATAGAAACATTTAAAGCCAGGTGTGGTGGCTCATGCCTGTAATTCCAGCACTTTGGGAGGCCAAGGAGGGATGATCACTTGATCCCAGTTGGTTTGAGACCAGCCTGGGCAACATGGCGAAACCCCATTTCTACAAAAAATACAAATAAATTAGCTGGGTGTGGTGGTACACACCTGTAGTCCCAGCCCAGGAGCTGAAGTAGGAGGATGGCTTGAGCCAGGGAGGTCAAGGCTGCAGTGAGCTGTGACTGTGCTACTACACTCCCACCTGGGGGACAGAGTGAAACACTGTCTTTAAAAAAAAGAAAAGAAAGAGAGAAAAAAAACACTTGAAGAAGGGTAAATGTACTCTTATTACTGTTTTTGTAACACTTCTGTAACTCTGGGATTTTTATACAATAAAAGCAAACAAGGAAGAAAATGAAGGCAGAGTACGGGTTATCAGGGCAAAGGACTCAGAATACGTGAAACCTCTGGTAACCAACAGACTCTAGGAGCTTCAGGTGAAATTTAAGTAAGGCAGGGCCAACATACTCTTTGTCTAATGTAAATCAAGAACCTATTTCCTCAGCACGGAGTCAAAGTTTCCTGATTTAAAGTGGCTACTGTTATGGTGCTTCTAAAATTATCACCTATTTTTAAAAATCCATCAAATGAACACATTTTTCTTTAAATAAGAAGCCTCACACACTACATAAAAAAGATAATGCCTGTATTTGCAATTAGAAACTCAAAGACCACATCCTGAAGCGTGTCATAGTACTGCCATTGTCATCAGCAAGTGGTATTTAGTAAGTAGTTGTCACCAAGCCCCATGTGAAGTTCCCCAAGGGATATATAAAAAAAAAAATGGGCCGGGCGCGGTGGCTCACGCCTGTAATCCCAGCACTTTGGGAGGCCGAGGCGGGCGGATCACGAGGTCAGGAGATCGAGACCATCCCGGCTAAAACGGTGAAACCCCGTCTCTACTAAAAATACAAAAAATTAGCCGGGCGTAGTGGCGGGCGCCTGTAGTCCCAGCTACTTGGGAGGCTGAGGCAGGAGAATGGCGTGAACCCGGGAGGCGGAGCTTGCAGTGAGCCGAGATCCCGCCACTGCACTCCAGCCTGGGCGACAGAGCGAGACTCCGTCTCAAAAAAAAAAAAAAAAAAAAAAAAAAATTATGAGACACTGTGACACAGAATTTTTTTAAAAAAATGTACAGAAAAGCTTTAAGTTAAATAAATTTATAAGATAGGTCGGCATAACCACAAACAGAAAGATGTGAAGATAATATTGTCAGCAGGCATTAGAAAAGAATAATTATTCTATGTTTTTGAGGTGTTAAAGTTAGATACAGTAAAGATAAAATGCATTACATTTCTATTCATTATTATATATCTACACTAATACAAAGGAGAAGCTATGGGACAAGGTGCAGCAGTGTGAAGAAATCAACATAACATTTGTCTCCGAGGAAAGAAAAAATCTGATGGCTGGCAGGCTGGCACTCTTACACCAAGAGTGTGGGGAAGCAGGTCTGGTGTGCAGTGAGCAGAAGAGGAATCCATATGCCTGTAATCCTAGCTCTTCGGGAGGCCAAAGGGGGAGGATCGCTTGAGCGCAGGAGTTGTAGACCAGCCTGGGCTATGTAGCAAGATCCTGTTTCTATTTTTTAAAAAAGTCTAATTTTGGCCGGGCATGGTGGCTCATACCTGTAATCCCAACACTTTGGGAGGCCGAGGCAGGTGGATCACTTGAGGTCAGGAGTTCGAGACCAGTCTGGCCAATATGGCAAAACCCTGTCTCTACTAAAAGTACAAAAATTAGCTGCGTGTGGAGGTGCATGCCTATAAGCCCAGCTACTCAGGAGGCTTGAGGCGCAAGAATCTCTTGAACCCAGAAGGCAGAGGTTACAGTGAGCCAAGACTGCACCACAGCACTCTAGCCTGGGCAACAGAGTGAAAGTATGTCTCCAAAAAAAAAAAAAAGTCTAATTTTCCACACCATACAGGGCAACTTTAATTGCTCAACAAAAATGAGAAGAATGAGGGAGTAAGGATCTGGTTTCCAAAGAAATATATTACAATTCAGCCTTAGTAAACTATGCCTATCATAATAATTTCCACTTAGAGAAGGCTAAAAGTTCATTATAAATTACAAAGCTATTAAAAGTCATTAGCAATAAAAAATGATGTGAAACATTTGATGTAATAAAAAGTATGTACAGGCCAGGCATGGTGGCTCACACCTGTAATCCCAACACTTTGGGAGGCCAAGGCAGGCGGATCTTGAGGTCACGAGTTCAAGACTAGCCTGGCCAACATGGTGTAACCCCGTCTCTACTAAAAGTACAAAAATTAGCTGGGTGTGTTGGCACGTGCCTGTAGTCCCAGATACTCAGGAGGCTGAGGCAAGAGAATCGCTTGAACCCAGTAGCCAGAGGTTGCAGTGAGCCGAGACTGCGCCATTGAACTCCGGCCTGGGTGACAGAGACTTCAACTCAAAAAAAAAAAAAAAAATGTATAAGGCGGAATTAAGTAATTAAGTACAGGGTTTTGCTTTGTTTCTTTGCGACAAGGTCTCTCTCTCTCTTGCACAGGCTGGAGTACAGTGGCGTGATCATAGTTCACTGCAGAGCTTTGACCTCCCAGGCTCAAGTATCCTCCTGCCTCAGCCTCCCGAGTAGCTGGGACTACAGGGGCATCCCACTATGTCCAGCTAATTTTTTTTCAGTTTTTGTAGAGATGGGGTGTCACTACGTTGCCATGCCTGGTCTTGAACTCCTGGGCTCAAGTGTTCCTTCTGTCTCAGCCTCCCAAAGTGCTGGGATTATAGGCATGAACCACCATGCCTACCTAGGACTTTTTTTTTGTTAATGCAGTGACTTTATAATATGCCCTGAAGGTCAGAAAACAGACTACACAACTAAGAAAATGAGAAACAGAAGGCCACAAATGATGATAATCTGCAGAAAATGATCTGTTGATTCATTATTGGTCTACATGTTACTCATGGCAATAACACAAATATTACCTGAGTGAGCTCCAGGTGCTGGGCACCATGCTAAAAGCACAAAGATGAATAAGACATCTGTAGCACTGTCTAGTGTCACCAAGCAGCAAAGGTGACTTGTATTTGAAAACTTGGCTTTAAATGGATGTCTACATCCACATTTCTACTTCCACTTAGAGTAGATGAAATCCACTCTAGTCCCCTGATTCTAGAAATGCCCTTGTCTTACCAGCTATAACCCGTCAAGGAGATCCAGCCATGCCTTCAATCATATTGCTCTCTCAATCTGAGACTCTTGAGCCCTCAAAGCTGTTTATTTGTTTTACAACCTGTGTCAATCGAAATCTATTTTGAATCCCTTTACTGATCCTTGGTCTTTTCTAACTACTGTGATAAGGACCACAGTCCATATATATATAATGCCTTGAATGTTACCGGCATTAGTAAATAACATAACCTTTTACTATTTAAAAAAAAAAAAAAGATTAAACAATGAACAATGAGCCTAGATTAGAAATCTCTATTGACCACAGAATTCTTAGTGACACTAAAAGCTATTTTACTATAAAACGTCCTTAAATTACAAAATATGCAAATTACCTTTATGCAAGAAATGTACCAAATATTCTAAGATTCAGGGTGCTTAAAAACATTCACCCAACTAGGATGATTTCAGATTAAAGAAAATAAGGACGGTGTAATTATATACACTTACCTTGACAAATAGAAAGCAATCTGTGATTAGAACATAGCAATTAGTTACAAAATGCTTCACATGGATTTAATTACCCATCAGTCTACATGTAGCTTAATTACTTTTATCTCATTGCATCAGTAAAAGATTTCTGCCTGAGGCAACTGCCAGTCATATATTTATAAGGTTTCTAGACTTTACAGTGAATACATTATAACATTCAGGCAAATGTGCTAAAGTTGCAGTTGCAGAGGCATTCTTAATTTTGAGTCTCTCCTTTTAGTTAATAACTATCTCATCCCTTTCTTAGAGTCAACTACCATCTAGCTTTCACACTGACAGTGCCACCTATTTGGCTAAATAACATTGTTGACATAAACATCACCTTTGTTTATTTTAATCCAGTAGGAGCCAGAAGGAAAGACCTTTGAAACCAAAACAATTATCTTATTGCCCTGAAGCAAAGGGTATTGTTTTCTCATGGGTAAGGTAAATACTTAAATTCAGAAAGGAGATGATTCTCTTTCTTTACGATGGCTGAAGAAACTCCTTTTCCTTCATGCTACACTGCTAATGGTGGCTTCCTGAGATGGAGTTTTTGTGATTCAGAGGGGGAAGCACTATATTCCATTTTTTCTCTCCTTGGGAAGACAGTTTTGAAATTCTGCCAACCAGGGTTTGATTCCTGGCTCCTTCATTGATTAACTCAATGTCTGGACAAGTTACTTAATTGACCTGAGGATAAATAATAACTATCTCAGTAGGCTACTAAATACAATAACAATCAAATTCAATAACACAAAAAACATCTAGTACAGGTCCTTGGCTCCATAGCAAACATATAATAAAAGCTAATATTGTTTGCTGGGTTCCCCTAGGAGGGTTCTATGAGGCTTATATGATTTCATCAGTAAAAAGGTTCTCTTTGGAACTAGGTAGATAATATCCTCTCCCTCATTTTTCTTTAGGGAAACATTTTTGGTGTTGGCAAGGAAATCATATTCTCTAAAAACGGAAAGTTTTTAGGACTCTGGAATTTGGTGTTAGGGGACTCTGGCGCCATCCTAGTTTAGAACCATTGTAGAAATTCCCTTCTGTTAAGGAAAGAGGTTTTGGGAAAGGGCATTGTCTCAACTCAATTAACAGAAATCTAAGGAGGCTTAGGGCTCATGAGTCAGCAGGAATCCCTTTGTAGTTTCTTTTTTACCCACACCAAAGTTTCTTCTGTTTATGCTTATATATAAATAAAATCGATAGGAAAAATGGGTCTGAAGTGCTACTGTGCTTCAGAATTGCCAATAAAGTATGTTACAACTTCAAATGGGAACGTGGGTGGACACGATTCTAATTAGGTAGGTCCAGCATGGTGTCCAAAACTGTGTGCCCCAGTGATCCTGACACTCCAACTTTGAGAAACACTCGGTGGGTTCATAAGAGAACACAACAACAACTTATATATATTTAGTTATCAAAATCCTTAAAACAAGAAAGAAAATAATTTTAGACTTTCAGAGAAACTTTTAAAATCTCCTCCTTAAATTTTGTTCTCACACTATTATTTCATTTATCCCAATTATTGATCCCAAAAAGGAATACAGACTCCAGTTTCTTAAAAATAGCTTAGAAATGATTAATGTGTCACCATGATATATAGATTTACCACTACGGTTGAAAGAAATAAAGAACTGGGAGAGATA
Organism: Homo sapiens; assembly: GCF_000001405.40. Taxonomy (NCBI): domain Eukaryota; kingdom Metazoa; phylum Chordata; class Mammalia; order Primates; family Hominidae; genus Homo; species Homo sapiens. The sequence goes on along the minus strand of NC_000006.12, from coordinate 20,932,016 downwards.
AGCATATGATACAAAGGCAAGATTTTATGGTTCTGTGTGGGCACTAACGCAGAGAGAAAGAACTTGACATTTGAGATGTGTATTAAATATATGAAGATAACCTATACTGTAAAATCAATCGACTGAAGAGTTTCTGAATTTCTACTCCTTAATTCATAAACTTCAAAGCAAGCACGAAATGACAGTTGCTCGAAAAATATTTTCAGGTTCTTTCGGGTAAGGAGCTGTGTTTTATTCATTTAGGTACAAACAGCACAGTGACTACAGCACATAATAAGTTCTCAATTAATGTTTGCTAAAGGAAGGAAAGGCATGAGGCAGAAAGGAAAATACTTCAAATGTTTCACCTTTTAGGAAGGGCAAATGTTTTCCAAATTTTTTTTCCCAATATTACTGTGAGTTGGAAATCATCTTTAGAATGTGTTCTAAAGATAATCACATGCCACGGAGACAAATGCCACCACACATTTTTGGAAAGAACTTAATTGCGCTTTAATCCTTTTGTGTAGCTTGTTCAAGTAGTTCTTATTCAGCACCAGGAGAATAGTTTTGTTAGTAGCGAAACTCCCCTGACTCTGCCTCTTACCAGGCAATGACGATGAGGACATTAATATCTCCTATGTCTTATTTGTAAAATTGTATGGTGACACTGGATTCTTACCATTCAATGACAGCAAATTTACCAGTAGAGAACATAGCACAGGGCCTGGTGTCTGGCACGAGGCCAATTATGATATGTAGCAACTTTTCCAAGCTCAAGTGACTTTAAAGATGAATTATAACTAGAAAACTATTGCATATATATCATTAAATGTACATCCCATATGTCAGTATAAAACAGTGATGCAGTTAGGCTAAGCTTTAGTCAGTCTGGGTTAGAATTCTGGTTCTACTGTTTACTAGCTAGGTAGCCAAGGCAGCTTAATTACTGGTCTCTGAGCTTAGGTTTCCTGGTCTATGAGATTAAGATACGCAGCCGGGCGCGGTGGCTCACGCCTGTAATCCCAGCATTTTGGGAGGCCGAGGCGGGCGGATCATGAGGTCAGGAGATCGAGACCATCTTGGCCAACATGGTGAAACCCCGTCTCTACTAAAAATACAAAAATTAGCCGGGCGCGGTGGCAGGTGCCTGTAGTTCCAGCTACTCGGGAGGCTGAGGCAGCAGAATTGCTTGAACTTGGGAGGCAGAGGCTGCAGTGAGCTGAGATCATGTCACTGTACTCCAGCCTGGGCAACAGAGCGAGACTCTTGTCTCAAAAAAAAAAAAAAATACACATAATACCTGTACCTCATAAAGTTAATGTAAACATTAAATGAGATAATCCATATAAACACTTCCCACTCTTCCTGGCACTTGGTAAAAAACAAATCCTAGCAACTGTCATTATTATGAAAGATACTAAAGTAACAATGAGGGGATGTGGGTCCACTCCAGGTTTCGACATGGGTTTTGTTTACTGGACCAGCGGCCATTGCCTTTGGAAATACGAAATGACATTATGTTTACTAAGGCATTTGAATTACTCTGGAATTTCCATTTGGAGACAAAAACTACTTCTTTGACAGTAAAGTTACAATAAAAAGGATAATTGTGGCATAGCCTGTTCAGACCTATATGCAGAAATTGCCCTATTTGCAAATGGGAACTACCCAAGCACAGAAATAGAGCTTGGCAGGGCTTTAAAAAACAATGAAGTTAATTAAAAGAAAAAAAAATACTTTTTATAGAGTTCAAAAACAAGTTAATTTTTTTTTTTTTAATTCACGTTTATGGTGTTAACAAAGAGTTGAAAAAACAATGAAATAAATTCTGGAAACTACTTCAACTGACTTCTCTTAAATAGCTTTCATTAGTTTGGTTTGAGTCTGCGTTTTAGCTCACTAAGTGTTTTTAAAATTAGATTTGTTGTTTTAATGCAGCTTTTCTTGGTACTTTTTGTCAAGAAAAGTCCAGAAATCACTTATACTTTTGACCCAGAAAATCCAGATAAACTTGATAAAGAAATGTTCTTGTAAGCCAACTTTATGAAGACAAATTTAAATTAAAGGAAAAAAGAAAACACAGTTTCAGAATATTTAAACAAGCACTAAAATAATACATCAGGTGCTGACATCTTAAAACAAAAATAATGTGCTAAGTCTCTGAGCCTTTTTTCCTTGTATTCTTTGGGGTCCAGGATGGGGAGAAGATGTTGACTGAGTCAGCCCTCAGCTGATGGGAATTAAAAGGAGCCATCAGCAGCCCAACTGTCAGTGGGGAAGAACACACTTTGACCGTAGAGGCAGAGAGCTAGTAGATCTTCAGGTGTCAGCCAGCAAAAAATAAAATTAAAAGAATAAATCAGCCTCCATCCTGATAATAATACACCCGCCCATTACAAAACTGCAACAACAACAAAATCTATTTTGACACTTTTGAACGTTAAAAAAGGTCAGATGTAAGGCAAAAATCACTGGCAGTAACGTCAAATACATAAGGCATAAACAAAAAACATCCAATCTGCTATCATTCCTTTCTTATGAATGAGTGCCTTGTCCAAACATCCCTGTCTTACTGCTTTTTTCTACCTTACTTTTTCTACCACTGCCTCTGTGAGGGAACACCTCTGCTTTCCTGGGTTTTCCCTTCCATTTACTCCTACGTTGTGCTGCAGAGGAAAATGCTATCCTTGCCCCCAAGGTTAATCTTTATTACCAGGAAGAATATGTGTCCCTTCCCCAGGGAAGACCTGGAGTAGTCCCCAAAAAAACTGAGCTGACAAGTGGTTGTAGATATTTAAGTCATCTCTTGGCACCATGTGCCCAGGAAAGGTATCCCACTAGGCTTGGACCTTCGAGTGGGGATCTTTTCCCTATCTACTGGGATCCTTCCATACTGTCTGGAACTGTCAGGATTTATGCTAACAATTCCTGGAAGAAGGAAAGGCTACACTTCCACTGTATAGGGTTAAAACTGCAGGGAGGCGGGTAATGTACTTTCACTTGAAGATGTAATTAATATTGGCTGGCTTTATAGATATCATCCTCAAGCTCAGATGGAACTCAAAACAATATGCTGAGATATTATGAATCCAGGACTCGACTTCGTAAGTATTTTGAGTTGAATAGATTTGTGTATGAAAAAGGTTCATAATTTTTTTCAATTCTACAGTATTAACATCTAACTTATAAAAGAATACTGGAGAACTGGACACAGTGGCTCATGTCTATAATCCCAGCAGCTCAGGAGGCTAAGGTGGGAGGATGGTTTGAGGCTAGGAGTTCAAGGCCAGCCTGGGCAACATAGCAAGATCCTGTCTCTAACAAAAATGAAAAAAAAAAAAAAAAAAAAGAATATTGTAAACCTCATGGACAATCTCCAGTAGAATAAACGATTTTAATTGTAGTTCTTTCAATACTGTCTTACTTTAAATTAGTCACTTGATTTTGTCAGATCTCAGATTCTTCATCTAGAAAATAAAGATCTTAGATCAGATCAGCTTAAGGTTTTGGGATTAGAGATCCCCTTTGATACTGATGGAAGCTAAGGATACCCTTCCAAAAACAAGCTACATACAACATGGGTTTGATATTTCAGGTGATTCACAGATCCTTGAGAGCACATCTGTGAAAAACTCCTGGGCTATGTTTAAATGTGATATTACAATCACTGCACATAATAAAACATTTTTAAAAACAAAGGTATACAATTTTTACCACTAGAAAACTAGTTTCTTCACATCCCATGAAGAACTATTGAACAATTACTTGCAAAATATAAGTTTAAAGAGACTCTGATATTACCAGCCTGCCCGTGGCACCTTCCCCCTTCCATGATACCTTTACATTCTATGTGATTGTAAAACGATCACTCCATCAGCTGAGGATGGTTACTATTGATTGGCAAGTGTCTTAAGTACTACAAGAGTCATAGTTTCCCTGGCCTGAAACTATCAGAGCTCTCACCAAACATTAATGAAATAGTTGGTTAAAGCTACATAAGATTTTTCAGAGACAAAACATTTCCCTTTTGCATCAAATGCAAGCTGTTTGCTTAGAAAAAACAGAGTAAGACTGTTTAAGAAACATCTCAATTATCAAATGATAATGAAGTCAAATTATACAGTCTAATAATCTAAGATTTTAATAAAAACTGATAGAATAATTTTTATATTCAGTAACACTCCTAAAGGTCAAGATAACTACTAAAGAAAATAATATAATTAAAGATGTATAGTGTTTATAAGCTTAAACCAGGAGAAGAGACTACTTTGGGGGAAAAAAAAACATTATTCCTGGATTCAGACTTCTTAGTTACCAAGGCAAATAGAAAATATAAAGCAAAAAAGCACATTCCTGTTTTAGAAAACGTTTCCTAGGACATAATTCCCCAAACATCTTTTAAATTCCAGAATCAGAATTCCAGAGTCTAGGATACATCTTCCTGTCCACCGCAGGTCAAAGGTTTGACTTTCCACTTATTTTTGCTACTATGGTTAAAAATCGATTAAAAAGTAATATTAATGCAAAAGAGGTGTACTCCTATTGCATTATTAATAGGCAATACAACTGTAAACGGTTTTGTTCACCGTTCTTCACTGCTCTTGCTAACAGTTTCAAAATAGGAGGTGCTGAAGCATGAAGACTGTTTGCAGCCATTGCTTTTTGAAATCACAGTGCTGGGAATTGGTGGAATTCTTGCCTCCTTGGGTTATCAGACATTGTGAACTTTCTTTGAAAGCAGACTATAAATTCACAAGGGGGTCCCCTGCCTTCAATCAAGGAAATGTTTAAAACGACCCCCATCTGCTATTTTAATGTATTCTTCCCAAAGACTGCCATAAATATTTAATATAAGAAAGGCGCTGTTTAAACACAATGAATAGCTTACGAAATTAAAGTTGGCTGATGGATTACACTGTATGCATAATACACTGTAAATAATGACAAAGAAAATATGAGCAGCATTACTAACTTTCTCTTATTTCTCTTGACATTTCTTAAGGAATGGTCAAAAGACATTTAGATATGGGCAGCTTAATTGATACCAAAGGGTGACTAACTCTATAGAGCCATTCTATTCATGTCTCTCTCTCTCTATATATATATATAAAAATATATATGTAAATATACATAAACATATATATATAAATATATAGAAACATCTTGGTATATTACCTACTGAAAGGGTATGAAATTGATTTTCCATTTCTCAAGAAGTCTCACTTAGCCCACTATGTTCATAAAAGTCACAGAACTATGATGGACACCTTCTATCAAGTCCCTGGTTTAGTTTCTTATATTCAAACAGGAATCAACACTTAATATTAGGCTTTTCTATGGAAGACATTCAATGCATACGTATCGAATGAGTACATACAGTTTTTATCAGATGCAATTATATATTGCATTCAAAATTTCCAAGGTAAGATGCCCCTTCTTCTTTCTGGTACTGTTCCAATAACCAACCTGCATATTTTCCATTCTCATGAATATGCATTTATTTTTACTCTGTTTTCACAGAAATAGAGAACAGCTGTGCCTCTTCTCCTTGTAACTCCTAATCTTTTGATTCTTCTGTCCAAATCAAACAATTTCAACTTATTTTAATTTTCCTGAAGTCTCTTTTTTTAACCATTTTCACTGAATTTCTCCACAGTGTAATATTAGAATGATTTCTCAATATTTATATGCCCCCAAAGTAATGTTAACTCTTACAAGATCAACATATCCTTGACATAAATAAGTGTACTGACCAGATTATTTTTTCCTGCTGGGTCAGTGTCCAGTCCAAATTCTTTATGTAAACAACTATAGAGTTCAACATACCATATAGTTAGATTTTTTACCAACCCTTCTGCAGCGAATTTCCATAGATTCTTTTATTCTCTTGATGCCATCAATTTCTCCCATACTGATGTCATGTATCAATATCCTTTGTATGTTTTTCATTGTTTACTAAATAAAAGGCAATATTGTTCCAAGCTAACAATATCATCTTCAGAAAACCATCCTCAGGTTATTAACAGAGCTCTGTGTAATATCTTGAAAGATGTACCAATTTATTTTTCTAAAAATCTTATAGAAAAAATATGTTGGAACTTGTCAAGACTTTCATTTAAGTCTAGATAATGAGGATTAATGTCTTCCCCCATTTTTAGATGGAGTATCACTCAATCATAAAAGAGAGGAACAAAATTGATAATAGTGTTGAAAATGTCACAGTACTCTGTAACTAATATCTTTGGCTTGATATTTTGACTATTGATAGAGGTTCTAGTATCTTCCTATGTGTTATCATTAGTATCATTTATCGGTAAGTCTATTTAAAAGAAGATTTCTATATTTTCTGGAATCCAAGATACCAACAATGTAAAACATGTCTTTTTAAAAAATGCACTACTAAGGAAAAAACAATAAAATGCTTTTACATAATCACTAAATTCCCTAAATTATCAGATGTATTCTCACTGAGAAGTAAAAATGTAAAATAAGTTCACCTTAATAGTTTATTAAGCAAGGTATTGTTATTTCTCTACTCTTATAACAGTATATTCTATAGTAAGTACATTCCTAAACATCACTAACATAGAATTTATAATATAAGCCAGAGAGTTAATTATTTCACATGACAAAGTCTACTGCAATAAGGGAAAAAGTGCAATAAAGCAAATAGCACAATAAAATGAGTCACACAAATTGTTTGGTTTCCCAGTGCATCTAAAAGTTATTTTTATGCTGTGGTCTCTTAAGTATGCAATAGTATCATGTCTGAAAAAGTGTACATACCTTGATTTTAAAATACTTTATTGCTACAAAATGCTAACGATCGTCTGAGACTTCAGGGAGTCGTAATTTTTTTTTGCTGGTGAAAGGTCTTGACTCCAATGTTGATGGTTGCTGCCTGATCAAGGTGGTGGTTGGTGAAGGTTGGGATGCCCATGGCAATTTCTTCAAGGAAGGCAGCAATAAAGTTTGCTGTATTGGTTGATTCTTCCTTCCACAAAAGATTCTCTGTAGCATGAGCATTTTACCCACAACAGAACTGCTTTTCAAATTGGAGTCAATCCTCTCAAACCCTGCTGGCTGCCTTAGCAACTAAGTTTATGTAATACTCAAAATCCTTTGTTGCCATTTAAACAAAAGTCCGAGATGGCATCTTCTCTCAATAGAAGGCTGTTTCATCTATATTGAAAATCTGTTGTTTAGCATAGGCGCCTTCATCGATGGTCTTAGACCTTCTGGATAATTGCTGCAATTTCTTCATCAGCATTTGCTGCTTCACCCTGCACTTTTATGTTATGGAGATGGCTTCTTTCCTTAAACCTCATGAATCAACCTCTGCTAGCTTCAAACTTTTCTTCTGCAGCTTGCTCATCTCTCTCAGCCTTCACAGAATTGAACAGAGTTAGGGCTTTGCTCTGGATTAGACTTTAGCTTAAGAGAATGTTATGGTTGGTTTGATCGTCTATCTAGACCACTCAAACTTTCTTCATATCAGCAATAAGGTTGTTTCACTTTCTTATCATTTGTGTGTTCATTGGAGTAGCACTTTTAATTTCCCTCAATAACTTCTCTTTTGCATTCACAACATGACCCAACGGTATAAGAGACCCAGCTTTCAGCCTGCCGGCTTTTGACATGCCTTCCTTACTAAGCTTAATCATTTCTAGAGACAGGGTCTTACTCTGTCGCTCAGGCTGGAGTGCAGTGGTGTGATCTCAGCTCACTGCAACCTTTGCACCCTGGGCTCAAGCAATCCTCCCACTTCAGCATCCCTAGTAGCTAGGTCTATGGGTACACACCACCACACCTGGCTAACTCTATCTAGACCACTCAAACTTTCTTCATATCAGCAATAAGGCTGTTTCACTTTCTTATCATTTGTGTGTTCACTGGAGTAGCACTTTTAATTTCCCTCAATAACCTCTTTTGCATTCACAACATGACCAATGGTACAAGAGACCCAGCTTTCAGCCTGCCTTGGCTTTTGACACGCCTTCCTTACTAAGCTTAATCATTTCTAGAGACAGGGTCTTACTCTGCCACCCAGGCTGGAGTGCAGTAGTGTGATCTCAGCTCACTGCAACCTCCGCCCCTTGGACTCAAGCAATCCTCCCACTTCAGCCTCCCTGGTAGCTAGGTCTACAGGTACGCACCACCACACCTGGATAATCTTTTGTATTTTTGTAGAGGCAGGGTTTCACCATGTTGCCCAGGCTAGTCTTGAACTCCTGAGGTCAAGCAATCCACCCACCTCAGCCTCACAAATTGCTAGATTACAGGCGTGTGCCGCCATGCCTGCCCATTTCTAGCTTTTGACAAAAAGTGAGAGACATGCAGCCCCTCCTCTCACTTGAACACTTAGAGGCCTTTGTAGGCCTCTAAGTCAATGTCAATATTGTTGTGAGTCAGGCAATAGGGAGGCTGGAAGAAAGACAGACAGAGAGAGGGAGATGAATGGCTGGTGGGGGAACAGTCAGAACACATACCATTTACCAATTAAGTTCACCATCTCATATGGGCATAGTCCGTGGCATCTCAAAACAATTATAATAGTAACCTCAAAGATCATTGATCACAGATCACCATAATAAATATAATAGTGAAAACATGTGAAATATTGTGAGACATACCAAAATGTGGCACAGAGACACAAAGTTAGCACAAGCTGTTGGAAAAAACGGTGCTGAGAGAATTGCTTGAAGCACGGTTGACACAAACCTTCAATTTAGGAAAAAACTTACAATATCTACAAAGCAAAATAAAGCAAAGTGCAATAAAAGGAGGTATACCTGTACCCAAGAGTTATATGTAGGCTGGGCATGGTGGCTCGTGCCTATAACCCCCACACTTTGGGAGGCGGAGGCTGGAGGATTGCTTGAGCCCAGGAGTTCAAGACCAGCCTGGGCAACATGGCAAGACCCTGTTTCTACCAAAGAAAAAAAGAGAGAGAGAGAGAAGACTTTATATGCAGATGCTTTTCTCCCCCAAATACCTTTTAAAATCACTTTATCTTTCTTCTATGACTTCTAGGTTTTCAAAGTATTTGAGTCAAATACCATCCCTCCTAATAAATACTCTTATGACTAATTCTTAAATAAACTTATGACCTATGCCTTAAACATAACTTGAGCTATTCATTCATTTTAATAGATCATCTCAAAGGATATACAGATGCAGTTTAAATTATAAATCATTTGGTAAATTATGGAAATTTCTGTGTATTATATGGACTCATTAAAACAAACTTTTTGCAATGAACAAAAGCTTCCCAAGTGATGGGTTACCACTTAAATAACTACAGATACAAACTTCTATGTCTCTGTTCTCATCCCGGTTCTAAGTCAGATCTTATAAACTGAAGATTGTTGTTTTGGGTGAAACACACGAGTCGTTTGACTCGATTAAAGCTTAATAATGATTGCAATGCATAGGGAAAGTAAGCACCCCTCAGTTTACCTTTCCCATTCATTCACCACAGCAGCAGCAGCTTGCCTGTTATTTGTCACAAAATAGTACACACACCCATACACGTATCTATCCTACTAGATGTACAATGGCTTAAAATCTTAATTTAGATACTGTCCCCTCTTTATGGCTCCTATGCGTCTTAGGTGAGTTCATTGTTTTCTCATGTTCCTCTCCTACCCCTTCCAAACTTCCCAGCAATCAGGAATACTGTAAGAGGGTGAAGAAAGAAAAATTTCAAAACCAGGATTTCTTTGTAGCCTAAAATGTCAAAAACCCTTTACAATGATTCCTTTCGTGTCTGACTTTGAATATGTGATTCATTATGGAAGTGCAGTAGACCCTCTGAATGCTGATGGGGCAGTGATTTATTCGAACACGAGATTTGTTCCAAAAATAGTACCATGGGGTTCAAATAAGTTTGAGATGGTTCTTTTCTCTGGCATTGGCTCAGAATGTATGCCTTTATCACAAAACCAGTTTGAATTTTGTTCGCGTATCCCACTACACTTTATTCAAATCATTCTGCGCTTTTAAGAAGACAGCCCAGGACCATCTGAGGTACTTCATTGACAGTTACAGCACACAAATAAACTAAGGCCGCTAAAGTAACTGCAAATCAGGCCTGGCATCCCTCAACCTGAGAAGAAAAGTTTAACTTATTCTTCCTTCCTAAAAGAAAATAGTAGAGATAACTGCAATTGTTGAGAAACTACGGAGGGAGGGTTTAAATTTTCCACATGGCATTCTCTTACTCATTTGCTGTTTTGGCCAAGTAGGAAGAATAAGAACTACAGAAAGTAAAGCCCAAATCTGAGAAATTACATCACCAATAGGCAATGAAATGAAGTGATTCTTAGTAGTTACTGCCAGTTGCTAAAAGCCTGTGAAATCAAGCCACAGAGCTGGGCCAGAGGCTGAGGGTTGATAGAAACTAGGATGCACCACAGGACCATTCTACTTAGACACTGAGATGAGGTTGGGAATAGGTAACTATTAAAATTCCTAAGAAAAGTACCTTAGGTTACAAAATTGCTCTGAAACATCAACTTAAAATAAACCTGGATAGCCAGGAGCAAGTCATGTAACCTCTCGAGCCTTAGTTCATTTGTTTGTTTGGTTTATTTATTTATTTATTTTGAGACGGAGTCTTGCTCAGCCTCCCAGGGTGGAGTGCAGTGGTGCACTTGGCTCACTGCAACCTCTGTACCCTGGGTTCAAGCGATTCTCCTGCCTCAGCCTCCAGAGTAGCTGGGACTACAGGCGCACGCCACCATGCCCAGCTAATTTTTGTATTTTTAGTAAAGATGGAGTTACACCATGTTGGCCAGGTTGGTCTTGATCTCTTGACCTCGTGATCCGCCCACCTCGGCCTCCCAAAGTGCTGAGATTACAGGCATGAGCCACCGTGCCTTGCCAGTTTATTATTTTTTTTAAAGACAGGTGTAACAACCTGGCTGGCTGGGGTGTGTACGGCTCAAAGATAAATTATGTAAAGCATCCAAACAATGACTGCACCCAGTTGACCCTTGATAAATGGAAGCTTTTTTTATCTAATATAAAAATCTAAAGAGAAAACTTTCAGTTACATATCTAGGAGAGGGGCTTTAACCATCAGAACCATCTGAATCTCAAGAAAGACATGCACATTTAGCAGTTAGGGCCATATTGTTAAGGTAACACTGCTTCCTGACTGCCATATTCCAAAATGACTGGGCCAGTATCTCTCTATATAAAGGGTAAGTGAATGTTTCAATATGCCAATCAGTCTACTAAACTAAGAGTATTTGAATAATGATTTCTTAGGTTCACAGCTCCCGGAAGAATTTTTTTCATTGTAAATGCTTTCTTGGGCATACAGCCCACAAACAATTAGAAAATTAGCATTATTATTTTAATACTAACTAAATAGAATTGTGGATGGCAGTATATAATCCTAAAAACAATAAACATGATTTTGATTTAGTTAATTCTGTATACAGTGAACAAAGAATCTGATTCTTTGAAACTATTTTAAGATTTACAATCTTGGAAATATGACAAAGGGAAGTGGGAATCAAAGAATAGTATTGCAATATAAAATTTTCTAATGCCAAGACAAAAATCACACGGATTTCAACTTGTCAGTCAAGCATGAGTCTGATTATTCTATTCACTTCACTGACTTTGATCCCTATCCTCGTCTCATCTTGGAGTTACTTTTTCCTATGGTGGGCTCCTATTTCTCATAAAACCTTTATTTTTAACTCAGTCTGCACTTCTTACTTGTAGGCGTACATTTTCAGGTCTCGTTCTAGAAATGACATTATTCAACTTTTGAGCTCAGACCCTGTCCTTTGCCCTCACCCAAAACACAGTCAGACCAAAAGAGATGCTTCACAGTGCTAACTGAGAATTGATCTTTCAACTACTTAGTCATAAGCAACAGCAGCTGGTTCTGAGTAATCATACAGGAAAGGAGTTTATTAAAAGGATATTAAGAATGAGGCTCAATACTAAGCTTCTAGGAACAATCCCCAATCCAGCACAAAATAGGCTTAATGAGAAAACTGTCACTGTTTTCAGCTGCACCAAGAATTCAACACTGTAAACACGACCACCCCTAAGAGCCAGATGCCACTACCACCACTCTGGCTAGCAAACCTGGAATCTAAGCAGAGCCTCTCTCCTCAAATTGCTCATTTCAGAACTTAGGTTTGTTGGTGGAATCTAGGTTACATTCTTGTGCCCTAGGTGCAAAGCAGATTAGTTCTCTGAGTTCTATTGTGGGAGGATGGTTCTCGTAAGGTTGGAAATTCCCCCAGATTATAGTAAGGTGTTCAAAAGGTGCTGGGCAGCCAAAAAAATACCAATCATGCCCATTGTACAGGATTATAAATTGCTAATACCAAATGAACACCCACATAAGAAACAAAATGAGTTCATGTCCTTTGCAGGGACATGGATGAAGCTGGAAACCATCATTCTCAGCAAATTATCACAAGAACAGAAAACCAAACACCGCATATTCTTACTCGTAAGTGGGAGTGGGGGGCTAGGGGAGGGATAGCATTAGGAGAAATACCTAATGTAGGTCACAGGTTGATGGGTGCAGCAAACCACCATGGCACATGTATACCTATGTAACAAAACTGCATGTTCTGCACACGTACCCCAGAACTTAAGTATTAAACAAAAGAAACAAAATGAGCAGTCTTCATTCCTTCATCCCAGAAAAGAGATGTGCAAATAATTAAATCATAAATTTAGCAAACAAATATGGTGTGGATATAGCAATGTCTCTGATCGTGATTTAAATCTACTGTGAATAATGAAGAAAAGTCTACAGTGTTCTGTAGTGCCTAGTGCCCAGTTCTAATACCTATCAGTTATCCTTCCTCTTTTCAAAATGGATAGGAGCTAATGATGCTGTAGACCCCATCCTGACTTGAGTCACATCCTGGCTAATTCTGTCCCCTTTAATACTCTGTTTCTGTTTCCCTGCAGTAACCCACATGACTATTGATGTATTAGTTTTTGCTGAGTTCTCACGGAAAACCACTTCCATCATTAAGCACGCATATTTAATCAGAACCTCTTCTGTAGTGAGAACACTTTGTTTTGACTGAAGAAGTGAGGAATTCCAGGATATGATAAGCACAATATTGCTGTTGGCCAATACTGGAGGGTGGAAATGCCCATGAACACTAAATGCAGGCATTCTTGCTCACCTCAGCATCTTATAGGGACAAACACAAGGAAGATGAATTGATCAGTGTTTTCTTAATGCCCCATCAGGAAGCATCATTTTACATAGCCTCCCATGTGCAAATTAAATTTAGGCATAGGAATATGAGTAAGTAAAGAAACTGAGAAGCGGAAGTAAGAGAATTATCAACTCCAGCCTAAAATCAAAACCAAACAACATGTATTTATATGCCTTAAAAATGTTTAGAAGAACACACAAAATTGTACAGTCCTTACATCTAGGTAGAATCATAGAATGTGTATGTTTTATTCTTCTTCATGCTTTTTGTGATGTACAAGAATGAGCATGTGTTACAGCTTCCAATCGGAAGGAAGCAGGCAGACTTGTTTACTGGAATATAGCCCCCCAAATATCACAAACTCATAAAAATATCTTCTAACGAAATTCAAGGTTATTATGATTCTCATTTTCTTTTTTAAAAATAACCATTTTGCAACTATGTCTTAAAACAGGTAAAGTTTGTGATAGTTGAATGGTATTGCTGTAGTCCATTTGGGCTGCTATAATAAAATACCTTAGACTGGGTAATTAAGAAATAATAGAAATTTATTGCTTACAATTCTGTTAGCTTGGAAGCCAAAGACCAATGTGCCAGCAGATTTGGTGTCTGGTGAGCACCTGTTCCTCATAGATGGAGGCTTCTCTGTGTCCTCACATGGCAGAAGGGCAATAAGGGCTAGGTAGCTCTCTTACGCCTCTTTTCCCCCCGAAACAGAGTCTTGGGCTGTCGCCCTGGCTGGAGTGCAGTGGCGTGATCTCAGCTCACTGCAACCTCCACCTCCCAGGCTAAAACAATTCTTATGCCTCAACCACCTGAGTAGCTAGGACCACAGGCATGTGCCACCATACCCAGCCAATTCTTTTGTATTTTTAGTAGAGTCTTAGGCCCCTTTCATAGGGTCTCTAATCCCACTCATGAGGGTTCTGCTCTCATGACTTAATCATCCCACAAAGGATCCATTCCTTAATACTATCATCTTAGTCATTAGGTTTCAATGTATGAATTTTGGAGGGACACAAACATTCAGAAAACAGCAAGTATATTTAATCTTTCAAAAATACATGTGATACTGTATGTTCTCACTCATATGTGGAAGCTAACCTATGAGAATGCAAAGGCTTAAGAATGATACAATGGACTTTGGGGACTCAGGGGAAAGGGTGGGATGGGAGTGAGGGAAAAAAATTTACACACTGGGTATAGTGTACAGGTGCACCGAAATCTCAGAAATCACCACTAAAGAGCTTATTCATATAACCAAATACCATCTGTTCCCCAGAAACCTACTGAAATAAAAAAGAAAAATGTGTGATATAAATATAACCATAAGCAATCACAGAACAAGTATACTTTGTATTATACACTTTTACTTGTTAGTTTAATAAATGAATACAAAAAGGCTATCACTAAGCATCTGATTGTATTGCTTCTACCATCTCCTTTCTATCAATTATTACCAGTTCTTCCTTAAAAGAAAGGTCTCACTGTGTATAAAACTAGGACTAAAGTATACCAAAACAATAATAAAAAAAGGCAAGGTCAGGTGCAGTGGCTCATGTCTGTAATCCCAGCACTTTGGGAGGCCGAGGCGGGCGGATCACCTGAGGTCAGGAGTTCAAGATCAGCCTGGCCAACATGGTGAAACCACATCTCTACTACAAATACAAAAATCAGCTGGGCGTGGTGATGTGTGCCTGTAATCCCAGCTACTTGGGAGGCTGAGACAGGAGAATCGCTTGAACCCGGGAGGTGAAGGTTGCAGTGAGCCAAGACCATGCCATTGCACTTCAGCCTGGGCAACAAGAGTGAAACTCCATCTCAAAACAAAAACAAAAACAAACAAAAAGACAAATGAACGAATGCTTTTATAATACTTCAGTAACAACATTATTAAGAACAGCCTTTCAAGCCACTGCGCCCGATCTTGTCTTTTTTTGTTATTGTTTTGGTATACTTTAGTCCTAAGGTAGTTTTATACACAGTGAGACCTTTCTTTTAAGGAAGAACTGGTAATAATTGATAGAAAGGAGATGGTAGAAGCAATACAATCAGATGCTTAGTGATAGCCTTTTTGGATTCATTTATTAAACCTAAAATATAAATGTCTTTTTAAATTGTGATGGATCCTCATTTAGTGAAGAATCCCATGAACACTCCCAATTTTCCCCACTGAAGGTAAGTTTTCAAATGCCTTGAGCAAGCAACTGAGGTGTCTAAGAGGGCACTATCCTCTGCATCCAATCTTCCTGCCCACTGCTTCTCAACACATGGACCTTCAATACACCATTTTCCTCACTGACCTGCACCCCCAGTGTTCAGTCCCGCTTCAGTGCTATACTCTTGTTATTTCTTCTGCCTTCTGCCCACCTATTTGCCATTTATCAGTGACTTCTCTAACATCTGTAGATTTTTCAATTCTTCCTCCATCCTTCCAAAAAACTCAAAATTTCGAATTAGTCTGACTCACAGAGAAGTTGCAAAAATAGGAAGTTTTCTTGCATTCTTCACCCAGGTTCCCCGAATGATATCATCTTGTGTAACCATGGTATCAATTATCAAGAACAAAAAATTGGCATTGTTACAATTCTGTTAACTACAGGCCTTATTTGGATTCTACCAGTTTTTCCATCATGAACTCACTCTTTTAGAGGAAGAAAGGGACTGTGGTTCTATAAATTTTATTGCATTATAGATTCATGTAACTATTACTACAGTCGGCACACAGAACTGCTCCATCACTACCCCAAAACTGCCTCAGGCTATCCCTTTATAGCCTTTATTCTCCCCAACTCTAAACTCCAGCAGTCATTAATCTTTTCTCTATCTCTATAGTTTTGTCACCTCAGGAATATGTAATCATTTGAGATTAGCTTTTTTTTTTAACTCAACATAATTGGATCTTGAGATCCAATTAAGTTGCTGCATATATCAAGACCTGCTCCTTTTTACCACTGAGTAGTACTCCACTGTATGGATATACCACAGGTTGTTTATCCATTCACTTGTTGAAAGACATATGGGTTATTTCCAGTTTGAGGCTATTACAAATAAAGCTGCTATGAACATTCATGTATATATTTCTGTGTGAACAAAAGTTTTCATTTCTCTAGTGTAAATATCCAGGAGTAAGACTGCTGGGTCACACGGTACCTGGGATAATTAATTTTTAAGTGGTTAATCCAAGCTGGCTAGACTATGGCACCCAGTTGTTTGGTCAAACACCAGACCAGATGTCATAAAAATTTTTTGTATGTTATTAACATCTAAATCTGTAGAGTTTGAGTAAAGCAGATTATCCCCCAAAATGTGGGTGGGCCTCTTTCAATCAGCTGAAGGATCTAAGATAAAAGACTAAAGTTCAGAGAAGAGGAAGGAATTCTGCCTTCAAACTCAAGACTGCAACAATGACTCCTGGTGAAATTTCCAGCCTGCCCAAGCCTGCAGACTTGCTGGTTCCCACAGTCGTGAGAGCCAGTTCCTCAATTTCTTAAAATCTGTGTGTGTGGGGGTGTGTGTGTGTAAACAACTGTGGTTCAATGGTTCTGTTGCTCTGAAGATCTCTGACTGATACATCTCCTAAGACTGGGAAATAGGCAGGGATATCTGCTTTCAACATTTCTTTTTGTTTTCTTTCTTCCTTTTTTTTTTTGCCATTATATAAATAATCTGTGATTTTAACATATAAACCAATTTACAATAAATTTATATATTTCTTTTAGATATGTACATATTGGATAGCTAAGGATTAAGAGTTTAATGGAGAATCAGTAAATACGATATAAGAACATCTTATTTTAAAGTCTGCTAGTATTTCAGAAAGTAAATTCTATAAGAGGGAGTAAAAACAAACTACCATATATTCAATCTTATACCCACCATAGTAAACTAAGTAAAAAAATATGTTCAGGCATATTACGTGAGTTTAGAGGTGAGCAATACCTTAGTGATACAACTGATATTCAAATTTTGTCAAAGTGACACCAGAGCTATGAAAAAATCTACACGTTAAAAAGGCAGGAAAATTTCAAATGTTTACTACAGAGCTTCTTAGGGGAGGCTATGTGCAGCTATAGAAAACTGTTATTATGTTCTATGCGGTAGAAGCAAAAATTTTAAAAAACTTACTTTAAATAGTAGCATTTTAGAAGACAGTACAGAAATATCCAAGTAGTGTTAATATCTCTGCCATAAAGACATTCACAAATTCAAAAACAAATTTCTACTGACCATCTTAGTGTACAGAGTACTGTTCTAGGCTCTGGGGTTATAGCAATAAACAATATATCCAGTCCAAATTCTTAAGAAATCTACACTTAGCTAGGGTGGGGTAGAAGGAAAAAATGATAAACACAATAAAGTCAGATCATGATAAATTCTCATGAAAAAAAAACCATAAAACTCGGTAAGAGATTAAAAGATGGAAGTGTTTGGCGGTGGGTGCATTTTAGAGAGAGTGGACAGGCAAGACCTTTCTGAGAAAATGGCATGCGGGTATAACATAAACTTTGGTTATTTTTTCTTTTTTTTTGAGATGGAGTCTCACTCTGTCACCCAGGCGGGAGTGCAGTGGCACAGTCCTGGCTCACTGCAAGCTGCGCCTCCCAGGTTCATGCCACACTCCTGCCTCAGCCTCCCGAGTAGCTGGGACTACAGGCGCCTGCCACCACGCCCAGCTAATTTTTTTGTATTTTTAGTAGAGACGGGGTTTCACTGTGTTAGCCAGGGTGGTCTCGAGCTCCTGGCCTCGTGATCTGCCTGCCTCGGCCTCCCAAAGTGCTGGGATCACAGGCGTGAGCCACCATGCCCAGCCTGTTGTTTTTCTTTTAAGAGACAGAGTCTTGTTTTGTCACCCAGCCTGGAGTGCAGTGGCACAATCATAGCTCAATGTAACCTCAAACTCCTGGGCTCAAGCAATCCTTCCTGCCTCAGCCTCCTGAGTAGTTGGGACTATGTGGTGTGCCACCACCCACAGCTAATTAATTTTTATTTATTATTATTTTTTAGAGATGGGATCTCACTATGTTGTCTGGACTGGTCTCGAACTCCTGACCTTAATCAATCCTTCTGCCTCAGCTTCCCAAAGCACTGAGATTACAGGGATAAGCCATCACCAACACAAACTCTATAAATCTGGGGTGACCTCCTGGAAGAAGATGGATGGAAAGAGAGAACCTCAGAAATTTCAATCAGTTGGGCAGTGTGGAGTCACACTGCTCCTGCCCATGCGGTGTGCTCAGGCAAGGCCAGAAACCTGTCTGCTGTGTTGGCTGCAGAAGTGGGGTGTGTTTTCCACAGAGCTGGGGCAGGACCTTGGATGCATTTCTCGCAGTAGGTCCTCTCTCTTGCTGGCTTTGATGAAGTTAAATTTCCATGTTGTGAGCTGCCATATTGGAGAGGCCCACAAACTGAGGGAAGCTTCCATCCAGCAGCCAGTGAGGAGCTGAAGCCCTCAACCCTACAGTTCACAAGGAGCTGAATCCTACCAACAACCACATAAGTGATTTTGGAAGCAGATCCTGCCCCATGTGAGTCTTTGGATGAGACCTCAGCATTGACTAACTTGTGAGAGACCCTGAGTAGAGGTAAGCTATGCCAGACTCCCACAGAGACTGTGAGATAAAAAATATGGGTTGTTTTAAGCTTCTACATTTGTGGTAATGTGTGTGTGTGTGTGTGTGTGTGTGTGTGTGTGTGTGTGTGTAAACAACTGTGGTTCAATGGTTCTATTTCTCTGGAGATCCCTGACTGATACATCTCCTAAGACTGGAAAATAGGCAGAGATATCTGCTCTCAACACTTTTTTTTGTTTTCTTTTTTTTTTGCCATTATATAAATAATCTGTGATTTTAACATATAAACCAATTCACAATAAATTGATATATTTCTTTTAGATATGTACATATTGGATAGCTAAGGATTAAGAGTTTAATGGAGAATCAGTAAATATGATGTAACAACATCTTATTTTAAAGTCTGCTAGTAATTCAGAAAGTAAATTCTGTAAGAGGGAGTAGAAACAAACTACCATATATTCAATCTTATACCCACCAGAGTAAGCTAAGTAAAAAAATATGTTCAGGCATATTTGTAATTTGTTATATAGCAATAGATAGCTAAATTACCTTCTTTATGATTCTGTTAAAAGATTAACACTGAAAAAGTTAAAAAAAATATGTCTAGTAAGGTTGATCCTCAGGTTCCACTATTTGAACACTTGGGCATCCAACTCTGGTCTCTCACTTACTGGGCTATCTGGCTTTTACAAGGTGTCTTTGATTTCATTCTTGATTACTTGCCTCATTCAGCTATTTCAGAATCAGGGCATCAACTCCACCCCATATGTGTCTAGACTCTTGCATGTCTCACCCTTGCTTAGGAACTGAAGGCCTGACCAACACACTACACTTCCCTCATAAAAGTACTCGTCTGCTGAAAGTAGGAGACCAACTTCATTTCAAGAGAGTCTTGGCTCCTTAACCCAGGATGCAGACCAGGGAAGCCTGCTACCTCCCCACCCAAGCAGCAAAGTCAAGTTTAACTCCAGTTCAGATGAAGGAATAATAAACAAATATTAGCTAAAAAGAAAGCTGAGGAGGGGGTTTGAGGAGGAAGAACACTGGAAATTTTTACGAATTTGAAAGAAACAATAATAAAATTGGTAAAAAAACAAACACACAAAAAACAGCAGAAATAGAGATTTCTTCATGCACTCTCATTCAAAACAAAATGGCAGTGGATCCTGGGTACATCAACCACCATGTGGTGGAAAAACACAAGAACTAGCAAACTATTGGGTGGTCCTTCTCAGAGGAAAGTTGTCAGATCCCATCTGACTTTGATCTCTCATTCACAGAAATAGCCTGGAGAAACTCCTCCACCCAATAAAAATAATAAATCTCATGAGCCACACACTCTGCAGTCCAGAAATCACCTCTGGTGAGAAACCTTCCTTTCCAGCGCATGAAGCAAACATTAACTGTTAAAATGCTGGAATAGAAATATCACAGTGAAAATCCAAAGGAATAAAAGTCTGTGTCACAAATCTCAGAGGTTGGGGAAGACACAAGAGAAAGGAACAGGTAAAATTTGTATTATTCCCTGCATCAGAAAGGTTTTCTTGCCAGCAATCTTTTAGGGAAACTGTTAGGAACTAAGGACATAAAACTCAGGAATTAAATTTAACCATGTTTATTCTGGTCTAAGGGCAAAACTAAAAGAGCATAAATAAGAATGTCTGTAATAATGTGAAAACCTTACTTGTAGCAAATTCCTTTAATTCTTGGTAAAATTCATGAACAAAGGCATTTTGGTGTCACCCTGCCCACATAAGAGATTACTGATTCATGTGCACATATGCAAAATTAACGTGTGAAACAAAATGTAGAATTCTAGAGCAACAAGAAGACAATCTAACTCAACAGAGCGCCTCCTTTTCCTCATTCAGCCTTTTGCAATGTTATACACTGGTGGGCATCTTTCTTGTCTAGAAGTATAGAAAACAGTGCTTGGAACTGAAGGACCTGGTCTTGATTCTTGGTTCTACTACTTAGTGGGTAGCTACTATTTGACTATACCACAACATGTTCTCTTACTGAGCTTTAGTTTTCATTCATGAAATGGAGTTAATGAATAGTGCCTAACTTACTCGTTATCATAAATATCAAATTAGATACTCCATATAAAGTATCTGGCACATGACCACTACTCTACAAAGGCTATTAGTTTGCATTACATGCATTAGTTTGCTGGGGTTGCCCTAGCAAAGTACTACGAACAGGGTGGCTTTAACAACAGAAATTCCTGTTGAAGGCTAGAGGTGCAAGCCCACGGGTGTTTCATTCTATGGCCCGTAAGAGACAATCTCTTCCAGGCCTCTGCCCTAGCTTTGGGTGGGTTGCTGGCAATCTTTGGGGTTCCTTAACCAGTAGAAGCATCACCTTGATCACTGCCTTCATGTTCACATGATGCTCTTCTCCCTGTGTGCATGTGTCTGTCTACAAATTACTGCTTTTTATAGGACATCAATCAGATTGTATTAGAGCCTACCCTAAATGACTTCATTTTTAACTTGTGCTCCTGTGAAAATCCCTGTCTCCAAATAAACTCATGCTCCGAGGTATTCAGGGTTAGAATTTCAAAATATGTATTTTGGGGTGACACTATTTAACCCACAACACCATGCTCCATCAAAAAAGCCAGCAAATCAGGGCACACAGAGGGGGTCTGAGGTAACACCTGCATTGAAGTCCAAGAGAACTCTAATCTAATTCCTGGCCAGACAGACTCTATCTGGCCCCAGGTAACAAATTTGAACAGCTACTTCTGCACCACGAATCTATTTTCTCCACAGGAAAGGTTGCCAGATAGGACACCCAGTTAAATTTAAATTTCCAATAAACAATGGACTATTTTCAGCCTAGGCATATCCCATGAGCCTCCTGTATTTTTATTTCCTAAGCTGGCCCTCTACCCACAGGTGGGTTGCATTGCCACGCTGAGCTCTCAAGGTCAGGCAGCATTACCTAAACATCTCCCATAAGAACTACCTGAGGTACTTGTTATGAATACAAATTCCCAGGCTCCATCCCAGACCCACAGAATCATGTTCTCCATTGAAGATGTCTGGAAAGCTATGTTTAACCAGTAGCTCAAGTCATTCTTTTCAAAGACATCTGGGAAGCAATGGATTAGATGAGGACAAGGAACAGTTAGAGCTATTAGTATAAGAAGTAAAAGGAAGAATGATAAAGTGAAAACAAAATCAAAACATAAACTGCTGGGATTAACAAATGCTTTTCTAATTTAGAATATGAGAATGTAGGAGAAATGACTAGATAACTACAAATAATGCTTATCTTCTGGGGAGGTGAAAGTGGATTTAATCATTGTATTAGTAAGACTGTTTTCCCGTGGGCTTATTCCAATGCCAGGTGCAAACCCGCTAAACTCATAGTACACTATGACCAAGGCCACCCTCTTCAAGGAAATAGGACCTGCTGCTCAGTCCCTCCTGGCACCATGCCTTCTTTAACACTACCTGAGGCCTACCTAGGAAGGTGCTCCCTCTGCCTCTGCATTCTCAACCTCCCTGGCACAGGGAAATAATCTTCCTTCCTACAAGTATAGGCTCTGAGGGCAGAACTGTGCCTAGTTTGTGGGTGGTCTAGCTATAGCTCAAAGCATTGAAATATGTTTCCAACGCTGAAAAAATAAAATAACAAGCAAAACCAAGGCAAAAACCACACTAAAATAAAATCTGTGTTTTATGCTGATTTTAAATAAAGCACCTAAAGCATTTAAGTAAATCTCACTGACTGCATAAGCAATAATAGCTTAGATGTAACTAGCGGCCTTTTAAAGCAAAACAACATTGGTTTACAAAACTAAATTACAGCGAGTAAGTAAAGACTCACTGGATTAATTCGAAAAGATGCTGATCTGGGATATATTCTTTGGACGGTCTGACCCATTTTTGGTCCCATCATCAATTCTGATTCCCTAATCCCAATTTTCTTCTTGTACTAGATGTTTAGAAGGATTTCTGAGCTCTGTGTAATTTGAATTCTGTACCATAGGGGCTTAAATTCAACAAGAGTAATACACACACACACACACACACACACACACACACATACATGCACACATATATAGATACATATACATACAATTTCATATCATAAACCACACATACACACATTCATTGTATCACAGATGATTTTAGCTTTAGGGTTTTAAATTATGGTGTTTGCATTTTTATTTAATATAGTTTATTAGAAAAGGATGCAGCAACAACCAAGGGGGAACAGCCAGAACGTTCAAAAATGCATTGAAACAGATCTAATGTCTGGTACTCATTCAATCATAGTGTAGCATGACACCCAAGGATGCAACTTCTAGGGTTCAAAATGAATCATATTCTCATGACTGAAGCAAAACCACCACTTTCATGGAAAATACAAATGAAAATTCCTCTTAGAAAAATAACCAAGAAATAAGATTATTTAAATTTTAATAAGAACTGTCACATTGCAATCACTTTAAGACAGACAATGGAATTTGATTTAATATGTAATGCAGTCTATTCATTAGAAGATTATTACTTAGGATTAAAATGTTTATTGTATAAGTCAACTTATTGTCAACTGGAGGAAACCTTTTTCCCTAAAGACATTGTAATATCTCAAGATTATAAAATGCTTCACTGTTTCCACGTATTTTTTTAATTTTTATAAATAATCTAAAGATAAAAAAACTAAATATTTATGCAAAGTCACATAGTTGGTTTATGACACAACTGCTTTTAAAACTAGATCAAGTGATGTCTAGCCCAGTGTACCTTTTCATTTGCCAACCAGTCAAGATTCAGCAAGGAATTCATTTTAATTGTTTGATTAAATTTGTATTTATAATTCCTATATTAAACAAAATGTGACATTTTTAATCAATGGTAAATATTTTCAAGTAATTACATTTAGGCCCATCCAAATGTGATAAATACAGACAGAATTCAATTCTTATTATGGTGATCTGCATATTCAAGACTGTCATTTACCTTCTAGTGAAAAATACATTAACCTTTCTTTTGTCTCCATTCAATAATTCTGGTATTTGAAGTGGTAGAGAAAAAAAAATCAACTTTCAGAAGCCTATATGATTTATTTAGATTCCACATTGCGGTAGTTTGTTCTGTGCCCATGGTTATGCTGGAGTTCCCAGAAGGCCCTTCGCTGGTAAGGTTCTGGGTTAATACTGGCCCTAGAAGAAATCTGCACAAGTTTTGGAGCAAAAGTGAAGCTGCAGCCAGTGCTCTCTGAATGAAGGTCATTATGGGGAGAAGTGGTGACAGAGCCGTGGATGTCAGCGTTCCCAGCTCATCCTTACTCTTCTCCATTCTGTGTCCAGCTCTTCTGCCCCAGTGGACCCTATTGACCAACAGTGGCATGGTGCCCACAAGAAGTGCTTGGCAGCAAACCCACAGAAGCAGCTGCCACACAGAGGCATGCTCCCCAAGGCCCTCCAGGACCTTCCCATTCCCATCCACCTCGGGTGGTGGGCTGTGCTCAGCTTCTGACTCCCTGGCTGCTGACTCCTCTGATGCCCCAACTCCCCATTGGCCCTCCCGCCGCCACTCAGCTCCTCACACACGGGGGAGCTCTCATTCCTGTAATAAACCCTTAGTCCCATGGCTCACAGTGGTTTGGCTTCCCTTGATTAACCCTTAACTGCTACACGTACCTCCTAGTCCACAATTGTTGGAGGACTACCTAGGAGTATTTTTTATTTTGTCTTTTGTAAGTTTTTATTACTATTTTTTTCTTCATAGTCATTTTTTTCAATTTTTTAACGTTATGTTCCATATAACATAAAATGTATCATCTTAACTAATTTTGTTTTTGTTTTGAGACAAGGTCTCTGTCATCCAAACTGGAGTGCAGTGGCACAATCTCGGCTCACTGCAGCCTCTACCTCCTGGGCTCAAGCGATTCTCCTGCCTCAGTCTCCCAAGTAGCTGGGACTACAAGCACATGCCATCATGCCTGGCCAAATTTTATATTTTTATAGAGACGTGGTTTCGCCATGTTGCCCAGGCTGGTCATCTTAAACATTTTTTAAGTATACAGTTAAGACATATTGAATGATTCATATTGTTGTGCAACCATCACCAACCATCAATCTTCAGAACTTTTTCATCTTGCCAAATTGCAACTCTATACCCATTACACAATAACTCCCCAATTCCGTCTACTCTCAATCCCTGAGAATCACTATTTTCCTTTCTGTTTCTATGATTTTGACTACTTTAAGTACTCATGTATGTGTTATAATGTGTATGTATAATTTCATATGAGTTATAATTGCATAATGTGTTATATATCTGTTATAATCCGTCTTTTTGTGACTGGCTCTTTTCTCTTAATATTAACATCCTCAAGGTTCATTTATGGTGTAGCATTTGTTAGAATTTCCTTCTGTGTTCTAGTATATGTCAGACTCTGACTGATAAGAAGGGACTTACTTCTTCCACTTTGTTATTTGTTTTGTCCCTCATTTTCCATATTACTGCCTTCTTTTGTGTTTAGATGTTTTTTTTGTGGTGAAACAATGTTTAAATTCCTTTCTCATTTCCTTTTGTATACAAATGGTCCCTGACTTTTAATGTCCAACTTATAATTTTTAACTTCATGGTGGGTTTATTTGGACATGACCCCATCATAAGTTGAGGAGTGTATGGACAATGGTTCAACTTACAACTTTTTGACTTTATAATGGGTTTAACAGGGTATTAAATGCATTTTCAGCGTAGATATTTTCAACTTACAATGGGTTTATTGGGAAGTAGCCCCATCATAAGTTGAGGAACATCTGTGTATTTTATATGTATTTTCTTTGTGGTTGCATTGGAAATTATATTTAATATCCTGAACTTATAGCACTCTAATTTGGATTTATATCAGCTTAACTCTAATAACATACAAAAACTCTGCTCCTTTAAATCTCTGTCCTCACTCCTTTCAACTGCTTATGTTACAAAATTATACCTTTATATGTTGTGTGTCCGAAAACATAAATTAAAAAAAAAAAACTTAAATGCATTAGTCTCTTAAATTATATAGAAAACAAAACAGGGAGTTACAAACCAAAGTTATAATAATACTAGCTTTTAGACTAACAATCGCCTTTTTAAAAAATGTTAGTCGTTACTCTCTAAAATCATGTAGAAAACAAAAAGTGGAGTTACAATCTGTTGTTACGATACTACTAGCTTTAATAATTTCCCATGCCTTTATCTTTACTGAGATGTGTATTTCTTCAAAGGGTTTCAGGTTATTGTCCAGTGTCCTTTCACGCCAATCTGCAGGACTCTCTTTGGTATTTCTTACAGGGTAAGTCTGGTGGTAACAAACTCCCTCAGCTTTTGTTTACCGAGAATGTCTTATTTTCTATCTCACTCATGAAGAACAGTTTCGTTAGATATAGGTTCTTTGGCTGTCTGGGTTTGTTTTGTGTTGTTTTGTTTTTTTCTTTTTTCTTTTATGTTGGCCCACTGGCTTCTGGGCTCCAAGGTTTCTGAGGAGAGATCTGTGGAGAATCTCATTGTGGTTCCTTTGCATGTGAAGAGTTGCTTCTCTCTTGCCGTTTTCAAGATACTCCTTTTTTGTTTCGACAGTTTGATGATAATGTGTCTCGATGTGGGTCTCTGAGTTCATCCTACTCAGAGTTCGTTGGGCTTCTGGGATGTTTACATTCATGTCTTTCATCAAATGTGGGAAGTTTTCCACCATTATCTCTTCAAATATTCTCATTGCCCCTTTCTCTCTTCTGGAATTTCCACAATGCACATGTTGATCTGTTTCATGGTGTAAGGTTCCACAGGTCCCTTATACTCCATTCATGTTTCCTCATTCTTTTTTCTGTTCCTCAGACTTGATAATTTTGATTGTCCTATTTTCAAATTCAAATTCTTTCTTCTGCCTGCTCACAATTGTCTTTGAATCTCTCTAGTGAATTTCTTATTTCAGTTACGGTATTTTTCAGCTTTAAAATTTATTTTCGGCTTCTTGATAGGTTGTCTATCTCTTTCTTAATATTTCTAGTTTGTTTATACATTGTTTTCTTGACTTCCTCATGTCTTCCTTTAGTTCATGAACATCTTTACGACAGTTATCTTAAAGTCTTTGTCTAAAATATAGGCCATCAGATTTTTATCAGGAACAGTCTGTTGGTTTTATTTTTTCCTTTCAGTGGGACACATTTTCTTGTTTCTTTGTATCCCTTGTGATTTTTGGCTGAAAACTGGACATTTGAATCTAATAATGCGGTGATTCTGGAAATGAAATTTTCTTCCTTCCCAAGGGTTTGCTGCGGCTTTTGGTTTTGTTTTGTTTTGATTTGATTTGATTGATATAGGCAGTCTCTAAGTCAATAATCTGCCTGAGGTGTAAACTTAAGGTCCTCTCACATCTTTTCTGAGTCTGTGCGTCTTCCTGGCCACATGTAGTGACTTTCTTTTTTCTTTTTTTTTTTCTTGAGATGGAGTTTTGCTCTTGTTGCCCAGGCTGGAGTGCAATGCCGCAATCTCGGCTCGCCGCAACCTCCGCCTCCTGGGTTCAAGCAATCCTCCTGCCTCAGCCTCCCGAGTAGCTGGGATTACAGGCATGTGCCACCACACCTGTCTAATTTTGTATTTTTAGTAGAGATGGGGTTTCTCCATGTTGGTCAGGCTGGTCTCAAACTCCTGACCTCAGGTAATCCACCTGCTTCAGCCTCCCAAAGTGCTGGGATTACAGGTATGAGCCACCGTGCCAGACCCACATGTAGTGACTTTCTAACTTTCCTCATACGTGTCCAGTTGCTTTGGAATGCCCTAGTTTCCAGGATCTGGCTCCCAAAATGGAAATAGAAAAAAATGAAGGGGTGAAAAAGGGACTGAATCTTTTTTTTCTTTATGAGATGGGGTCTCGCTATGTTGCCCAAGCTGGTCTTGAAGTTCTGAGCTCAAGCAATCCTCCCACCTTGGCCTCCCAAAGTGTTGGGGTTATAGGTATGAGCCACCATGCCCAGCCCTGGACTAGACCTTTAAATTCCCTGAAACTCACATCAGTTAAAGGAGGAGGGGCTTGCAACAATGCAGGGAGGGCACAAAAACAATGGTTGCCCACCACTTTGTTTGCAGCTCTTGATCAAAAGCAGCAATCAGCACCCACATCTCCAATATCTGGATCCTTATTGTGCACCCTACATTGTGCAAGCTGCCTGCAAGCTTCTCTTAGACCAAGTGTATGGCTGCCTACCCCAAGGCTGAGGGATAGGGGTGTGTAGCTGCTACCATGCTAAGGACCAAACATAACCACAATTCACCATCCTAGCCTTCCACTGGAAATTGTACACCTTTAGTAGATTCAGAGTTCCAAAACAGTTACATCAAACAGGTTCTGTCAGTGCATTTGTTGTCTAGTTGGGGAGACAGATTCCTGGTGCTTTCTACTCTGCCATCTTCCCAGAATCCTCTTCTGCATAGTCACTTTTCAGACTATAATTTCTAATCCCAGAAGGACTTATGTTTATTATGAAAAAACAAAGCAAGCCCAACTCTGCTCCGTGATACAAATGCACATGGGCTTCAGTTTCATTTGTTCCAGAGGGAGGGTTATAAGCACTTCTGAATAAAACTCATTTTCTATTTAGAAGCAGCATCTTTGTTACCAGAATTTTCTCCTCAGGCACTGTGTTCAAGTATATAGAAAATGCAATCATGATTGAGAAATCAAACTAAAGCATATAGGAGCAGAAAATCATCTCACCTTCTTCGGTAAATATATAAGGAGCACTGTGAAAGCAGCAAAGCTAAAAAAGGGAACATCGAGATCGCTGAACACTTCTAAAATGATATGTATTACTAATATTCAATTATAAAGTCTCAAAGGAACTAAGGCTGAGTAAAGTAATGAACATGTGCTTACCAATTCCAGCAGCACTTTATTCAAGAACACATCTCCAAATAATGATGCTTGGGAAGATTAAAGGAGAGAGTATTTCAAAGACTAACATCCTCAGAAAAGCTTTGAAACAGAAATTAAGATATTCACCATTAAAGTTGTTCGTGTGTGTCTGCGTTTGTGTGTTAGAGAGAGCAGGAGTGACAGAGAGAGTGAGAAGAGAGGTGTTTTTAGTTTGGCTGTTCAAATGTAGACATTTGGCATCAATTTTTGGTGAATAGGCCTGGCAAGCAGATATGCTAAAAACAATTTGATTTTTCCACCCTGAAGTCACATATTCAAACTTGCACATCTTCCCTCAAAAAACTGGCAACTTCCTGTTACAATGAATGTCATTCAGTCTATAGAATACAGTGACAGCCCAAGTAGAAGACAGAAAAATGACTTACTACTTATGGGAAAAGCTCTAGGATCACAACTAAGCATACGGCTGCTCTCCTGGATGGGTTCTGTCCCAATGCACTCTTCAACCATCACCCATTTAGACCACCCAAATGACCTGCCGTCACCCCCCTTACCAATAACCATTCTTCTGTTATTGCCTTTTGGAAAGCTCCCGCTTTTCTATCTCTCCCTTTTTGTATGCCATATCCATATTGTCATTTGTTTTTACTCTACACTCTGTCCTTAAGCAATTTCCCCAATATTATGGTTTTATATATAATCTATATGTAGATAATGGTCAATTTTATATCTGCATTCCAGATTCCTTTTTCAAACTCCAGATATAGCCATATATTCAACTGCCTGCTTGGGAATTCCCCTTTGATATCTCACAGGCATTTCAAAATAACATGTTCAAACTGGAACTCCAGAACTTCTTGCTCAAATAGTTGCCTCTTCCAGTCTTCCATGTTCAGTACATTGTACCTTATCCATAAACCTGGGAACTATTAATGTCTCCCTCTCTTACTCATACCTCATAGCTAAACTCAGTTTATTAAAGGCCCAATAAACACATTGTGTGTGTGTGTGTGTGTGTGTGTGTGTGTGTGTGTGTGTGTGTGTGAATCCACCACGTGATTTCTTTAAGTAGCCTCTTCTCTGGTCCCTCCACTTACATTCTGAACCCCTACAATTTATTCTCCACACAGCAGCTACTGATCCTTTGGAAATGCAAATCAGATGATGTCATTTCACTGCTAAAACCTTGAAATAAAGGTTCTTGAGATAAAGTTCAACATTTCCAACTTGGTCATTTACAAAGACAGTAATAATCCACAGTGTTAGAAGTCAGGGGGACAGTGGTTACTGTAGACGGACAGCTGAAAGATAAGAAACTAGTTTCTGGCCGAGGCAGGCAGATCACTTGAGACCAGGAGTTTGAGATCATCCTGGCCAACATGGCGAAACCCCATCTCTACTAAAAATACAAAATTAGCTGGGCATGATGGCATGCACCTGTGGTCCCAGCTACTTAGGAGGCTGAGGCATGAAAATTGCTTGAGCCCGGGAGGCAGAGGTTGCAGTGAGCTGAGATTGCGCCATGGTACTCCAGCCTGGATGACAGAGAGAGACTCTGTCTCAGAAAAAAACAAACGAACAAACAAAAAACAACTAGGAAAGAAAAGAGAAGAACCCAGTTTCTGAGTTGCTGGAAAAACTGTGTTTCTTTTCTTTTTTTTTTTTTTTTTTTTTTCCAGATGGAGTCTCGCACTCTTGCCCAGGCTGGAGTGCAGTGGCGCAATCTCGGCTCACTGCAAGCTCTGCCTCCCAGGTTCACACCATTCTCCTGCCTCAGTCTCCCGAGTAGCTGGGACTACAGGCACCCGCCACCATGCCCGGCTAATTATTTTTTTTTTGTATTTTTAGTAGAGACAGGGTTTCACCATGTTAGCCAGGATGGTCTTGATCTCCTGACCTTGTGATCTGCCCGCCTCGGCCTCCCAAAGTGCTGGGATTACAGGTGTGAGCCACAGCGCCTGGCCTCTAAAGCTGTTTCTTAATCTGAGTGCTGGTGACATAGTTATGTCCAATTTGTAAAATATCACTAAACTATACACTGAAGATTTGTTCATTTTCTTGTATATATGTTATAGTTGAATAAAAATATTAAATAAAAATCCAAGAGGAAAAAAACAGACTCTGCAAATGGAGGCAACAGTCGCAGAAATACTATCTTCATATATGTACATCACCGAAAGGGCTACTTAATATGTTTATCTGTCTCTCGGACACATGCCCGTTCTCCTGTCCTCTCCTGGCCTCTCTCTCTCTCACCCACACAGAGCAAGCACCAGTGAGACAATCATCGCTAGACTTCAAAGAAAACTCCAATGTTCATATAATAATACATGAGCTCCAATGGACATTACCTTGTCATGAATATGAAAGACGACACGTCTCATTGATTTTCAGTATATGACTGCTACTGAAACTATTACAAATTATGCAATAACTAAAGGATAATGATTTTTCATTTTAGTATTTAACTCTCAGGACACAAATTTACACCAATGATAAAATATTCTACCATGTGTTTATAAAACATTCCCTTAAGAAATGTTATTCATTTTTTTAACTTCTACAGCACATTACTTAGGCAGGGATACTACAGTAAGATGTTGAAAAAGAAAGTTTGCATTTTCCTCCTTTACCAAGAAGTCCATTAGCAAAAAACAAGGTGATTGCATGAAAAGAAACTTGGAAATGACTACTGCACAGGTGTTGCTTAAAAGTGACATATCTGACAGGGGAACAGATGTTTCAGGGGGAAACTCTTTGAATAAGCACACAGTTAATGACACTCAGCCTCATCATTAAGTTTAACAGCAGCCTTTTTCTCTCAAGTAGCCCATATATGATGTGCCACTAGCAATATCTACTTACGATGCTGGTGCTGTTATTTGCATACTGCATCAGAACACGGCCATGTGACAGTACTGATCAGGAGAGAAGCCTTGTGCTTCTCACAGCTTACTAAAGCAGCAGAATCATTAGCACTGACATATTTCACTACAGCAGTTGGAAGACTATCTTTTAAATGGTAGGAGCCATCAAAAAATGGTTTTCACTCCATCACTTTACAGATTGGCCTCAGAAATTAGCTTTAGAATAATTTTATGTTTTTTGCCCCCTTTTTTTTAATAAGGATTGAGCCAAACACACAATGTCTAAGGTAGCATCTATGTGCCAAATTCTATATAGTATAAATCGAAAGGAGACAGGCTATTTAATTTTAAACTCTCTCAATAAAAGTTATTACGGGTAAAAAGTTGAAGACTAGAATACTGAGAAGGTGAAGCAGAATTGTAATGGTTCCCTACAATAGTAAGAACAGAGGGTGCTAGCATCTCTAATCATTGAGCATTTTATCAATGCTTGAAGCAGACACAGCATGGTCATAAAAGTAAACATTTATGTCACCTTGGTCAGATCGCTTAGATCCTCTTTGCCTTAGTTTCCTCATCAGTAAAATGAGGATAATAGTAGCAACTTCACAGAGTTATGAGAATAAAAATTTTTTAAATGTTTTTTTGAGACGGAGTTTCGCTCTGTCGCCCAGGTTGGAGTACAGTGGCATGATCTTGACTCACTGCAACCTCTGCCTCCTGGGTTCAAGTGATTCTCCTGCCTCAGTCTCCCAAGTAGCTGGGATTATAGGCATGGGCCACCATGCCCAGCTAATTTTGTATTTTTCAGTAGAAATGGTTTTTCACCATGTTGGCCAGGCTGGTCTCGAACTCCTTACCTCGGTGATCTGCCTGCCTCGGGCTCCCAAAGTTATGGGATTACAGGCGTGAGCCACCACACCCAACCAGAGAATAAAAACAAAATTAATGACATAGAAATTGCTTAGCATTGTACCAGGTAAATATTATTTTACCAGTAAGTGGTTTTAAAAAGCAGCATCATTCTGTTCACAAGATCCACTGCAGCAAGAACAAGACAAATTATGCCCTGAAAATAACACCTCATTAACAAGACGTACTGTGGCGTGGTGGCTAAAGAATTAGAGGGCCGGGCGCAGTGGCTCAAGCCTGTAATCTCAGCACTTTGGGAGGCCGAGGCAGGTGGATCACGAGGTCAAGAGATTGAGACCATCCTGGCCAACATGGTGAAACCCCGTCTCTACTAAAAATACAAAAATTATCCAGGTGTGGTGGCGGGCACCTGTAGTCCCAGCTACTGGGGAGGCTGAGGCAGGAGACTCACTTGAACCCAGAAGGCAGAGCTTGCAGTGAGCAGAGATTGTGCCACTGCACTCCAGCCTGGGCGACAGAGCAAGACTCCATCAAAAAAAAAAAAAAAAAAAAAAGAATTAGAAGAAAAAGGATCCTAGGAAACTGTGTCTTGATTGGCCTGTGTTCACTAGAGTTAGTCATATAACATGAGCAAGTCACGCAGCCCCCTGACTCTCCATTTCTATACAAATAAAATGTGGTATTTAGTAAGGTGATCCTCAAGATACCTCTTAGAACTAATATTCTGTACAGGGAAAACCCTGGGAGCCCTTGAATCTTAGCAGAAGCTCCTTTGAGCAACACAAATTAGGTGAAAATTATTTTATAAAAGCTTTAATCATAAAATTATTTTAAATAGGGAATTTTATATGTAAAAATAAAAAAGTTTATATATGATTGACTTCACAAAACATTATTTTACTCAATAATTTTCATGATGAGACATAAGTAATGTTTGGTTTATCAGTACTCTCAGTAAGCATTCCTAATCCTACTGAATCCATAGAATTTAGAAGGAGGGACCGGGTTTCCATCTCTTTGATTTCAGATGCCAAGAAAAATAGTTACCATCAATAGTCAAGAGTAAGGCCACGTCAGAATTATAATACCCCTTATAAAAACGAGCTCATTCTTGACAAGAACCCAGGGAAAGCCTAAGCAGGAGGCCACTGTCGCAATGGCAGTCACATTTAGAGAAGCTGCTCCAGTCATGATCTAGCATGCCTACACATCTCATTCAGAGTATCCCAACCGGAGACGGCTACACAATCAAGAACGAGAATTCCCAATGTCATAGGAGGCATGGTTGGAGGTGAGGGACGTGAATGAGCAGACAGAATGAAATTTACTAAATAACTAAGGACCAGGAGAGTATCTAGAGGGATAAAGACAAGCAGAACAGGAACACACATATACAAACCAACAAGAGACAGGGAGGTAAAAGGAAGCAAATGAAACAAAATTCAGTAAAAACAGTAAAAAGAGCCCAAGAAGTCCCACATTACAGAAGGCAGCTGTCACAAACTAATTATACACCCAAGAGGAGCTGGGCCATCCTTCCACACCTAGAAGTAAATGAGTAAAGATCTGTTGATTAACAAG
The DNA here is from genome assembly GCF_000001405.40 of Homo sapiens. Lineage (NCBI taxonomy): Eukaryota > Metazoa > Chordata > Mammalia > Primates > Hominidae > Homo > Homo sapiens. The sequence continues at coordinate 20,898,035 of NC_000006.12, read as the reverse complement.
ACTGTACCCTAAAGGGCAGCAACATTTTCATGGTTTTCTCCAAAGAATTGGAAATTTTACCTTTATCAATTCATCAGACCTTTGACTGAGTCATTCATATAATCCAATCTTAAATAGATTTTTATTGTATTTTAATTACTTTAAAAATGTATTTCTAATTAATAATGAAATAAATGTACTTTTAATTATTTTATACTTAGGAAAAGAAAGGTAATTCATGTTCACTGTAGGAAATAAAGATAATGAACACTTGCTGTAAATATTCCATAGAATATAAAATTTAAATAATTTAATCCCACCACTGAGAGATAATAATCACTTTATTTTATCTCAATTCAGTCTTTTTTCTACACATACACGAAGACTTTTTCCTATATAATTAGGATAATGTTGTAGTCCCTTACTAAAAAAGTAGACTTATCTGAATATATAACTGAAGATTGGTGGAAAAAAGATACAAAATTAGAGCTATTTCTAGGAAGACTTCCCTGATGCTTGTTTTTTCTATATTACAGATGTATGTTATCTGAGGCATCTGGCTGCCCACTAGATTCCCAAGGTCAAAAGAGGCCAGGACATGTGGCCTCATTCTCACTCTGGCTTGCGGCAGGATTGGGAGGCCTCTGCTATAAGGGGCTTGGCATACTAATCACTTCTTCATCTGAGCCTGCATCTTTCTACCTCCACTCGTGCCCAATTCATTCCTACTGGGGGTCAGGAAATACAGTCTCTTTTCTTGTGGTGTCCCATTTGACTTACTCATTTCTGAACAAATGTCTACAAGTGAATCAACTTTAATTAAAGGGCCTTTTGGGTGGTGATTAGGTCATGACAGCTATTCCCTCAGGAATGGGACTAGTGTCCTTATAAAAGAAGCCCAAGAAAGCTTGTTCACCCCTTCTGTCATGTGAATAAACAGCTAGAAGGGACCATTTTTGAAGGCAAGAGCGTGCCTTCATGAGATACTGAATCTGTTGGCACCATGATCTTAGATTTCCCAGCCTCCAGAACTGTGAGTAGTAAATCCATGCTGTTTATACTCATTCGAAGGCATTTTGTAATAGCAGTCCAAGTAGACTAAGGCACAGGTCCAAGTAGAAAATAATTTCTGAAACCATCCTCCGAACCCAAGAACACTTTCATCTGATTGAATTGTACATAACAGAGTTCCAAGGTCACAGCTCTCTTTGAGAAGACAGATTTATTTTGAGAAAGGTAGGGAGTGGGGAGGGAGGGAGCTTTCATCTCGGTGATCCCTCCTACCTTCCACCCCCAACTTGGTAATATCTGGTAGTCTCAGTTTCCAACAGTGGTACACAGAATCCTAAACTGGAATGTTAACTGAAAAGTGAATGAACCACATTAATTTGATGAGTTTACAAATCAAACATGGCCATATATATTTATTTCTAAGCCAAAAAACTCAAACCATGGTTTTCATTATTGATTTAAAATAAGTATTCTTTATTTTACTTGGCACTAGAAACTACTCATTTAAGCAATTACAGAAATATGCATTTTATATCAAATGAATGTATTTAACTGTTGGACTTACGAATTTGTTTTGGTCAAGATTTCTTATCTATTCTTCCTACCCCATTTTTAAGTTGCATAAAATGACTTCAAAAGAAAAAAAGAGGCCAGGCGTGGTGGCTCACACCTGTAATCCCAGCACTCTGGGAAGCCAAGGTGGGTGGATCATGAGGTCAAGAGATCGAGACCATCTTGGCCAACACGGTGAAACCCCGTCTTTACTAAAAATACAAAAATTAGCTGGGTGTGGTGGCGGAGCCTGTAGTCTCAGCTACTCGGGAGGCTGAGGCAGGAGAATCGCTTGAACCTGGGAGGCGGAGGCTGCAGTGAGCCAAGATCGCGCCACTGCACTCCAGTCTGGCAACAGAGCAAGACTCCATCTCAAAAAAAAAAAAAAAAGAAAAGAAAAGAAAAGAAAAAAAAGAAAAAAAGAAGCCATTTCCAATCCCAATCTCTTCAATTTTATCTGTCAGTGTTCCCTTTCAGTCATTGCTCAGAATGCTATTTTTATATGTTTGTTTTACATATTCCTAATAATGTTGGAGACCAGATGTAAGTGGTGGCATATCAGAGGCTGCAGTGGAGAGAGAGAAATAAGATATTTATCAAAAGGGCCACTGGATAAAGAAAGTTGAGGGACAAAACTTTCAGGAGTGACTATTGAAATATGCATATTGCCATAGTAATCACGCAACTGGACATGTTTTTGGGTATGGTAGTGCTTGCAGAAGGGTTGTTTTGGGAAGCCATTCCCTTTCTTTCCAGGAATGATTATAAACAGTGGCAGTTTAACCATGCTAAAGAGATGGAGACATGGCAGACTTCTCACGACTGTTGATGTTAGATGTTACTTGCAAATCTTGAAATCTCCTCTGGAAATCATCAACATGATGATGATAAGAACATACTGAATGAATGCATCTGTATTCATGTCCATCTTTCCTACAAAGATGTAAGGCATTTGAGTTCATTCTTCTGATAGACACTTTAGATTCTGAATTCTAAAAATGAATAGCTGAGCAAGCGTATGGGGAAATGGAAACATACACTACTGAGAGAAGTACAGGAGTGCATTTAGGTAATATCCACCAAAGTGGAAAATAAGCATATTCATTAACCCACAATTTCATTTATAGGTAAGGAATCCTGAAGTAACTCTCACATGTGTATAAAAGGAAATAAGTGCAAATGTTCATTACAATTGCATTGTTTGTAATTGGAAACAACCCAAATATCCATTACCAGGTGAGTAAGTTGTAAATTCACATGATGGAATACTATAGAGCTATTAAAATAAGTAAAACAGATATATGGACAAATATGGATAGGTCCATAAAAGAAAACAGTGAGTGAAAAGAGCAAAGCTGCAAAATATTTGAGAGTATAAAACCATTATTTAATATTATAAACTTACAAAACATACACATAGAGAAAAAAGATACACAACAGATTCACGGCAGCAGTTACTTCTGGTAGAGCAGCAGGTGAAGAGAACCTGGTAGGAGGTGATAGAGAACTTCAACTTTATCTGTAACATATTATTTCATTAAAAAAACAAAAACAAAAAGAATCTGAAGAGCACATGACAAAACTAAGATTGTTTATTCTCTGAGGAAAATTCACCAGTATCAGTTATCTTACCTACTGTATATATATTTTAAAACACAGGGTCTCACTATGATGCCCACACTGGTCTTGAACCCATGGACTCAAAATATCCTCCTGCCTTGGCCTCCCAAAGTGCTGAGGATTGCAGGTGTGAGCCACCACATTTTGTATTTTATGTGTTATTTTTGTAAAAAACTAAAGTTTAGAAGTGTATAACTTAGAGGAGAAATTAACCATTATCTCTATAATGGGGGCAGTTGTTAAACCTGTAACACTCAACATGAAGTGAAAGACCTTCTTCAAACTTCCCAAATGGAAAATCTCTGATTCAGAAGTGTAGCCTTTATAAAGAAAAGCATCACTCAAACTTCTTTTATAAAACCAGAGCAGCTTACACTTAAAACCTGTAAAAAAATTTGAAGTATTAATAAGTTTCTCCCTGAGGCCACATAAAGAAATATCCATTATATGTTTAAAACACAGCAAAAAAAAAAAAAAAAAAAGTATGTGGGGTGTAGGCTAAGAGGTTAATTCTTCCAAGTTCTAGTACTGGTAAATTTACCACTGTTAATTTAGGAAGACCATCTGAATGGTATGGTAAGGAGAAAATAATTTTCATTGAATATATACTGATTTTATAAAACAATATCTGACCAAAAAATAGTTAAGGTAATTTTTTAAAGAATTAAATAGTTGAGGTCAATAATATGCTGACCTAGAAATTAATGCATCAGGCTGTCACCAAAATAACACTTTAGATACTTAGTGTGCAGTCAATAAGCTAATGAACTACCAATATCCTTGACAGCAATTTCATTCTGTCTTTGATTAAAATGTACTCAGCACACAATTACATGTCAAAAATATGAAACATATTTCTTTTCTATGTATTTATAATTCCATTTATAATCACACCATTTGAATGCTTCGACAAGGACTGCATTATTAACATAAAATAATGTTAATTCCTGCTCTAGTAAGAAACAACTCAATCTTTTTGTTCACATACTACTATACAATTACTCATGATCATCATCATCATCATCAGTATCGTGAGTTCTTGTGCACTTACTCCATGCCCAAGACTGTGCTTAGCTCTCTGCATACATTTCTTCATTTTTATCCTTATCACAACTCTATGAAGTTAGTTCTGTTATTATCCTCATTTTGCAGAATAGGCAATTGAGGATGGAGATGCTAAATTTATTATCTCAAGGCACACAGATTTAGCAAATAGTAGAATAGTTGCTTCATTTGACTACAGAAGTATGTAACCACTGCATATTCTACATACTATCAGATAGAAAGCCTTAGAAACAATATAAATAAATGTAACTATGCCCAGAACAAAAAATTATGCAATGACATATTTACACTTTGAAATTCACATTATCCTTCCCCCATAGTCAGGCCCTCCCCACCTGAATAATCCAGCCATATATCTCTACACATATATCCCTTACTCTTTATTGTGATTATTGAAAAGCAGTTGCTACAGGCATGAGATATAAATTGAACCATTCAGTTATACAGTGGGGGACCAAGCATGTTGAGTGCTATTGTTCTTTTGCTTTGAGGCAAGCAAAAGGCCAGCGAACACCTCATGGCACTAGGCTGTAACCTGCATTCAGTGCAGCAACTTGAATGAATCATGATTATCTAACTGACTCCAGTCAAAACCCCAAAGAATTAGTACATTATTAAGATGTTCTAATGCGCTTCTTTTGTGATGCCAAGTCAAAAATACCAGCTATTAAAAATAAGGCGGCACAGAGAGATGCGTTTTTGGGATCATTCCAGACCCACCTACAGGGTAATGCTATTCTGCTTTCAACAGCTGTTTCTACTTACCTGAGGTAAGGCAGGTGCAGGACAAAAGAAGCCAATGTCTCTGCACCTGCTCCCTCAAATTCAACTCAGGTAAATCAGTAAAAGTGACCTTTGTGAACCTGTCACTAGGAGCAGATGTTTAGTGAAAGACCAGGAGGTTTTCATCCACTTGACTTTGCCTCAGTTTAATTCATTCAATTTAACCAATCTGATCAGATTCTATTGACAGATGCTTAAGGCAACTGCTTCCAAAAAGGTTGGCTTATCTAGGAAAATGCTGTCAGAAAATACTGCAACAAAATCTTTCCAGGCCAAGCTGGAAGTGGATAGTTAATATGAGGTAAATAAAAACTCCTTAGAATCAATTTTAAAGTGAGAACTGCTTTGTTAAATCTGGATGATTCTGTAGATGGAGAAAGGTTATGAGTACATGTTTTGTGTAATTTTTATGACAGGAAACCTCAAACATATATATAAATATATAAATATACAATACGGTATAATTCATCCTCATGCTTTTATTAGTCAGCTTCAACTAGTATCACCCCTGGGTCACCTAGCCACATGCTCTCACCAAGGATTTTGAGGCAAAATCTCAGATACGTCATTTCACCTATAAATATTTCATTATTACCATACCTTAAAAAGTTTTAAAATAATTTTTACATTGTATCAGCACTCAATATTGTACTTGTCTTATAATTGTCAAGTTTTAAATAGTTTGTTTGAATAAGGATCCATATACAGTCCACATATTTCAATTCTCTTTTAAGTCTCTTTTCATCTGTGAAGGAGTCCCCACTTCAGTCTCTCTCCCTCTCCCTCCCTACTGCTCCACACCTCTTTCTTAGTTGAAGAACTGTGTCTTTGGTCCAGTAAAGAGTTTCACAGTCTGGATTTTGCTGACTGCATCCTTTAAGAATGGGAATGTCCCCATGTCTTCTTCATTACCTTAACCAAATTTAAGTTCAACTTTTTGGTAAGATTTCTCTGTCAGGGGAGACGGTGCAAACACTTATTTTTAATACAGATATATATGCAACAAGAACAAGTTGCACAAGTGCAGAAGAGGCAAGACATGAAAAAACAGCAACTCTAAGGATGCTGCAGTAATTGAAAGTAGAGTTGAGAAAAAAACAACTCCGTAGATAAGACTAAAATTAAAAAAGAAAAACAGATGACCATGAGAAAAGCAGAAGAGTCCCTTATGCATGTAAGAAATAAGCAGGATGGGCCAGGCGCCGTGGCTCACGCCTGTAATCCCAGCATTTTGGGAGGCCAAGGCGGGTGGATCACGAGGTCAAGAGATCAAGACCACCATGGCCAACATGGTGAAACCCTGTCTCTATGAAAAATACAAAAATTAGCCGGGCATGGTGGCGCATGCCTGTAGTCCCAGATACTCGGGAGGCTGAGGCAGGAGAATCGCTTGAACCCGGGAGGCGGAGGTTGCAGCAAGCCGAGACTGCGCCACTACACTCCAGCCTGGTGACAGAGTGAGACTCCGTCTCAAAAAAAAAAAAAAAAATACAGAAAAAAGAAAAGAAATAAGCAGGATGAGTGACAAAGAGTGAGATGGAATAAGAAGCGAAGGATGACTGACAGGCCACCCGGCGTCTGTTGGGTACTTTCACCTCCCATGATCTGCACTCCAGGGGGAGTGTTATTAACTCACAGTAAGGACAGGCTGCAGCATGCCCACCTTCCTGCCGCTAACAAATGATCACGTCAGAGCTCAAGCCAGAGCCTTCCAACTCTTACTCAGTTCAAGACCACTAGTGCTAGAGAGTGGTGAGGAGATAAGAAGAGGAAGGACTGAGACACTGGGCCATGATTACACCTCATTACTGCCTTGTAGAAAAACTCCTTCCAACCCTCAAAATGAACACACCATAGTGCCTGTAACTCATGCGGTAGCCATGTAAATCACTGGTTAAGCCAAGAGCTCTGAGGCCAGAATGTCAGAGTTTAAAGCCTGACTCTGTCATCTACTACTTTTGTGCCTAGGGTAGCGGGGGAAAGGGGAGGTGCAAATTATTTATCCTTTCACCTGTTTTCTCATCTGTGAAAGGAGATAATTGCAGCACCTCCATCTTTTGTGAGGATTAAACAAGTTAATGGAAAAAAAGCATTTAGATGAGGAACTAAAATATGGTAATTGCTTCATAAATATTCAATAGTATTATCTTACGTTACTATTGTTTTTATTATTATATTGAATTTTAAGCTATTATTGGTCACCAGTAAGAATTACTTCTTGTCTGATGCCTTTACTTATAATCTAAATGCAATATTTCCCAAACAATTTGATGCAAATCGCCTGATGCACTAATTAAAAAGACTAATGGTATGACAGCATCTTAGACCCGCTGACGCAGAATCTCCCCAGGGTAAGAGTGTAGAAAACAAATTTTAAGCCAACACTCCACGAACGTCAAAGAAACAGTAGAGAGCTCAAGAGAGAAAACCTGGAATGTCACCAGAAGGTTCTGATAACCACTACATTTATTTTCCATCAGATTGTATAAAATTACAATAGCCATCAGTAGAAAAATGTGATTTTATAAACGTTTTTTCTTTTCTGAAAATACATGGAATTATTTATTGCTCACTGATTTTTCCACATCTATTGCTGAGCACTTTTCTCCTCATGAATGTGTACAGTGTTCCAATCCGGGTGCTGATGATTTTATCACTAGAGAGGAAGTTCTTGAGAAGGAAAACTCCATAAGCACCACTTCTTATGCATCTTGCTTAGAGTCTACAACTTGATAATTAAGCAATAAGAAACATCAAGATGTAGCTTACAGCACTAGTTATTAACACACATGGTGTGTACATTGTAAAACATCAGGCAGTAACTGCCCAAGGCGAGTGCTAACAGTCCCATAAACATACAGGTGTTTTGTCACTGTGTGACTATCATCTTCGAAGCTCAGGATTATTTTTTTCTTTCATATCATTAACTAGAAGTTTTTATTTGATGGAAAATCTACATAAATGGAAATGTAGCCCGGGCACGGTAGCTCATGCATGTGATCTCAGCACTTTGGGGGGCCGAGGCAGGAGGATCACTAGAGCCCAGGGGTGTGAGACCAGCCTGGTCAACACAGCAAGACCTCATCTCTAAAAAAAATTTTTTTTACCCATCAAGCTGCCAATGACTTTCTTCACAGAATTGGAAAAAACTACTTTAAAGTTCATATGGAACTGAAAAAGAGCCCGCATTGCCAAGACAATCCTAAGCAAAAAAGAACAAAGCTGGAGGCATCACACTACCTGACTTCAAACTATACTACAAGGCTACAGTAACCAAAACAACATGTTACTGGTACCAAAACAGAGATATAGACCAATGGAACAGAACAGAGCACTCAGAAATAACACCACACATCTACAACCATCTGTTCTTTGACAAACCTGACAAAAATAAGAAATGGGGAAAGGATTCCCTATTAAATAAATGGTGCTGGCCATATGTAGAAAGCTGAAACTGGATCCCTTCCTTACACCTTATACAAAAATTAATTCAAGATGGATTAAAGACTTACATGTTAGACCTAAAACCATAAAAACCCTAGAAGAAAACCTAGGCAATACCATTCAGGACATAGGCATGGGCAAGGACTTCATGTCTAAAACACCAAAAGCAATGGCAACAAAAGCCAAAATTGACAAATGGGACCTAATTAAACTAAAGAGCTTCTGCACAGCAGAAGAAACTACCATCAGAGTGAATAGGCAACCTACAACATGGGAGAAAATTTTCGCAACCTACTCATCTGACAAAGGGCTAATATCCAGAATCTACAATGAACTCAAACAAATTTACAAGAAAAAAACAAACAACCCCATCAAAAAGTGGGCAAAGGATATGAACAGACACTTCTCAAAAGAAGACATTTATGCAGCCAAAAAACACATGAAAAAATGCTCATCATCACTGGCCATCAGAGAAATGCAAACCAAAACCACAATGAGATACCATCTCACACCAGTTAGAATGGCGATCATTAAAAAGTCAGGAAACAACAGGTGCTGGAGAGGATGTGGAGAAATAGGAACACTTTGACACTGTTGGTGGGACTGTAAACTAGTTCAACCATTGTGCAAGTCAGTGTGACGATTCCTCAGGGATCTAGAACTAGAAATACCATTTGACCCAGCCATCCCATTACTGGGTATATACCCAAAGGACTATAAATCATACTGCTATAAAGACTCATGCACACGTATGTTTACTGCGGCACTATTCACAGTAGCAAAGACTTGGAACCAACCCAAACGTCCAACAACGACAGACTGGATTAAGAAAAGGTGGCACATATACACCATGGAATTCTACGCAGCCATAAAAAATGATGAGTTCATGTCCTTTGTAGGGACATGGATGAAACTGGAAATCATCATTCTCAGCAAACTATCACAAGGACAAAAAACCAAACACCTCATGTTCTCACTCATAGGCGGGAATTGAACAATGAGAACACATGGACACAGGAAGGGGAACAACACACACCGGGGACTGTTGTGGGGTGGGGGGAGGGGGGAGGGATAGCATTAGGAGATATACCTAATGCTAAATGACGAGTTAATGGGTTCAGTACACCAACATGGCACATGTATACATATGTAACAAACCTGCACATTGTGCACATGTACCCTAAAACTTAAAGTATAATAATAATAAAATTAAAAAAAAAAAAGAAGATGTGGCACATATACACCATGGAATACTATGCAGCCATAAAAAAGGATGAGTTCATGTCCCTTGTAGGGACATGGATGAAGCTGGAAACCATCATTCTGAGCAAACTATCGCAAGGATAGAAAACCAAACACTGCATATTCTCACTCATAGGTGGGAATTGAACAATGAGAACACCTGGACACAGGGCTGGGAACATCACACACCAGGGCCTGTCATGGGGTGCGGGAATGCGGGAGGGACAGCATTAGGAGAAATACCTAACGTAAATGACAAGTTAACGGGTGCAGCAAACCAACATGGCACACGTATACATGAGTAACAAACCTGCACATTGTGCACATGTACCCTAGAACTTAAAGTATAATTTAAAAAAAAAGAAATTATGTTCCACCAAAAAAAATTTTTTTTTTAAAGATTAGCCAGGCATGGTGGTCCACGGCTATTTGGGAGGCTGAGGCAGGAGGATCACTTGAGCTCAGGAGTTCAAGGCTGCAGTGAGCTATGATCATACCACTCTACTCTGGCCTGTGTGACAGAAACAGACCCTGTCTCTTAAAACAACAACTACAAAAAAAGAAAAAAAGGAAAGATCTTAAGCGAGTGAGTTCTGACAATCATCTACTGTGTAGCCCAAACTACTCTAAAGATATAAAATACTTTCCTCTAGAAAGTAATCCTATGCACCTCATCAGACAATCTCTCCCTACCCTCGTGCCTACAAGTATTCAGTTTTTTTTCTACCACAGATTATTTCCAGAGATTCTTGTGAATGAAATCATATCTTGCACTTTTTTTGTGTAATGCTTCTTTTACTCAGCATAATATTGTTAAATTCCTGTTATTGCTTAAATTGGTAGTTCGTTCCTTTTAGTCACTAAATAATAGTTCATTTTGTGGATAAATTCCATTTTGTCCATTCTTCTACAGATAAACACATGGGCTGTTTCTAATTTTTGGTGGTTACGACTAAAATAGCTATAAACATGCTTATACAAGCTTTTTTGTGACTAATTTTGACAAATTTCTCTTAGTAAATGAGTAGAATTGCTGGATTACAGGATAAGTGCATGTTGACTTCAATAAGAAACTGCCAGACATTTTTCCAAAGTGGGTGGAAACCCCCATTCCCAGCAACAATGTATGAGAATTCCAGTTGTTCAACAACCTTGCCAACATTTAGTGCTGTTAATCTTTTAAATTCTGGTGGTTGTACTTCATGTATAGGAGTATCTTATTGTAATTCACATTTGCATTTCCCTTGTGACTCATGTTGTTGAACACTTTTAATGTACATTTTGGTCATTCATATCTTCTTTTTTGAAGTATCTGTTCAAATCTTTTGTCCAGTTTAAAATTCAGTTGTTTGTCTTCATTATTGAGCTGTAAAAAATATTTATATGCTGGATATCAACCCTTTACCAAATAAATGTGAATATTTTCTCCCAGTCCATGTCTTGAATATTCATTTTAACAGAGCTCTTTAATTTTGTTTTACATTTCTGGGACATTTATTACATTCACAATGTTGTGTAACTATCACCACCATTTCCAAAGCTTTTTCATCACCTGAAACAGAAACTCTGTATCCATTAAGCAATAACTCCCCATTCCTCCCTTCACCCTTTCCCTGGTAACCTCTAATCTACTTCTTGTCTCCATGAATTTGCCCACCCTAGATATTTCACATAAATGGGATCATACAATATTTGTCCTTTTGTGTCTGGCTTATTTCATTTAGCATAATGCTTTCAGGGTTCATCATGCTGTAGCATATATCCGAACATCATTCCATTTTATGATTGAATAATATTAAATTTTGCATACATCCAATATTTTGTTTATCCATTCATGTGTTAATGGTCATTTGGGTTGTTTCCACCTTTGGGCTATTGCAAATATCGCTGCAATGAACATTTGTGTATGTGTATCAGGTTGAGTCCCTGTTTTTAATTCTTTGGAGCATATACCTAGGAGAGAAATTGCTGGGTCATATATTAATTCTATGTTCAACTTTTTAAGAAACAGTCACATTGTTTTCCACAGTAGCTGCACCATTTTACATTGCTACTATTCACAGCAATGTATGAGGACCAATTTCTCCACATCCTCACCAACACTTAGTTTCTATTTTGTTTTTAATTAAAGCCATCCTAGCAAGTCTGAAGGGTTTTGATTTGCATCACACTAAAGACTAAGAATGTTTTCAGCATCTTTTCATGTGCTTATCTTCTTTTGAAAAATATCTATTCAAATCTTTTGTCCATTTTCTAACTGGGTTGTCTGCTTGTTGAGTCGTAGTTCTTTTTTGTGGGGGACGGGGATGGCGTCTTGCTCTGTTTCTCAGGCTGGAGTGTCGTGGCATGATCTTGGCTCACTGCAACCTCTCCCTCCTGGTTCAAGCGATTTCTGGGTAATTTTTGTTTTTTTATTTTTAATAGAGATGGGGTTTCACCATATTGGCCAAGCTGGTCTCCAACTTCTGACCTCAAGTGATCTGATGCACCTCGGCCTCCCAAAGTGCTAGGATTACAGGTGTGAGTCATTGCATCAGGCTGAGTTTTAGTTCTTTACGTATTCTAGAAATTAAACCTGTATCAAATTTATAATTTGTAAATATCGTCTCCCAGTCTGTAGATTGTCTTTTCAGTTTCTTGATAATATCCTTTGATACATGACAGTTTAAAGTCTGATGAAGTCAAATTTATCTATTTTTTCTTTTGTTGCTTGTGCTTTTGGTGACACATCTAAGAATCCACTGTTAAATCCAAGGTCATAAAGATTTACCCCTGTGTTTTCTTCTAAGAGTCTTGGTATTTTAACTCTTATATTTAAGTTGTTTTTCAATTTTGAGTTGATTTTTGTACATGGTGTAAGGTAGGGGTCTAACTTTGTTCTTTTGTATGCAGAAATCTAGCACCATTTGGTGAACTATCTTTCCCCACTGAATAAATGTGGTTCCCTGGTCAAAAATCAATTGGCTACAGTTGTATGGGTTTACTTCTGGATTCAGTCCCATTCCATTGATCTATATGTCTATTCCTATGCAAGTACCATGGTGGTTTGATTACCATAACTCTGTAGTAGGTTCTGAAATTGGGGAGTGTGAGTCCTCTAATTTTGTCCCATTTAAAGACTGCTTTGGTTACTCAGGGCCCTTGCAACTGTACGTGAATTTGAGGAATAGCTTTTCTAGAACTGCAAAAAAAAGGGGAGTGCTGTTGGAATTTTGCTAGGGATTGTGCCGAATCTGTAGATTACTTTGGGTAGTACTGACATCTTAACAATATTAAGTATTCCTATCCCTGAACATGAATGTCTTTACTTTTATTTAGGTCTTCTTTCATTTCTTTCAGTAGTGTTTCATAATTTATCACTTTTTTTTTTCTTTTTTAAGAGATGGGGCCTTGCTATGTTGCTCAGGGTGGTCTCAAACTTTCAGGCTCAAGTGATTCTCCTGCTTCAGCCTCCTGAGTAGCTGGGACTACATGCATGTGCTACAGCACACAACTTGTTTCATATTTTTTAGTGTACAAATTTTTCACCTCCTTGGTTAAATTTATTCCTAGGTATTTTATTCTTTCAGATGCTATTGTAAACGGAATCACTTTCTTAATTTCCTTTTCAGATTGATTATGATTGTTCATTGCTGATGAAGAGAAACACAACTGATTTTTGCATGGTGATCTTATAACCTACAGCTTTGCTACATTCATTTCATAGTTCTAGTAGTTTTCTTGTAGATTCTTTGGGATCTTCTATATTTAGGATCATATTATCTGTGAAGAGAGACTGTTTTACTTCTTTTCCAATTTGAATGCATTTTAGTTCTTTTTCCTGTTTCACTGCTCTGATTGGGAATTCGAGTACAACGTTGAATAGCAATGGAGAAAGCAGGCACCTTGTCTTGCTCCTGATCTTAGGGGGAAAGCTTTTATTTAGTCTTTCACCAATGAGCATGATGCTAATCGTGAGTTTTTCAGAAATGTCCTTTAACATGTTGAGAATGTTCTCTTCTACTTATAGGGTTTTTTTAGTGTTTTTGTTTGTTTGTTTGTTTGTTTTTTCCATCAACCTCATCATTCCTGAGATGAAGTGTTGGATTTTGGCAAATACCTTTTCTTCATTCATTGAGATCACTCTGTTTTTGCTTTTGTTACATTAATGTGCTATATTATATTGATTGATTTTTGTTATGTGGAAGCATCTTTGTATTCCTTGGATAAATCCCACTTGATGATGGGTGTAAAATCCTTTTAATATGCTGTTGAATTTGATTTGTTAATATTTTTGCATCTATATTCATAAGGGCTATCAGTCTATAATTTTCTTTTCTTCTGATATCTTTATCTAGCTTTGGTATGCTGACCTCAGAGAATGAGTTAGAAAGTGTTCTCTCCTCTTCTATTTTTTAGATGAATTTCAGAGGGACTGGTGTTAATTCTTTAAATGTTTGCTAGAATTCACCAGTGATGCCATCTGGTCCTAGATTTTTCTTTACTGGGTGCAATTACTTTTTTCACTAAAGTCCATCAAAAGGTTTCCTCCTGTCATGTTATTGTAAAACATTTTAAATATACAGAAAAAGTTGAAATAATTTTACAGTGAACTCCATATACCTACCACCTAGATTCTATGATAATATTGTACTTTATTTGCTTTACCATACAACTATCCATTGTACTTTCTTATGCATTTCAAAGAAAGATGCATATATCAAGACACTTCACCCCAAATACTTCACCAAGCACATTATTAACTACAGCTGCCACTAGCCACATGCGGCTATTTAGTTTTAAATTAATTAAATAAATGAAACATTCGGTTGCGCAGTCATTCTAGACATATTTAAATGTTCAACAGCCATGAGTGGCTATACAATACTGGAGGAACAGCCCATTATATCCACAGGTTCCACCCACATTCAGGGGGAGGGAACAACACAAGGTAGGTGCAGCAGAGGGTAAGAATATTGGGAACCATTTTTAGGTTTTGCCTACCATATGTGGGGAAGGGGCATCTGCCTGGAACTAGTTACACTTGTCAACTAAAATGCAACAACTGGGAAGACAACGTATGAGAGAAGGTGACCAGCATGGAGCTTGAATTCCCCACTGCTCCATTTCCTATCCAGCCACCTACTGAAAGTTGAGTTTTGTTACTTCCTTTGATACAGATCTGGGAAGGTCCACTTGGAAGAATTATAGGTGGGCCCCTGTACCAATCTGTCAGAACTCATAGCAGTACTTAAAGTACCTAATTTTATCTATACCTCAAAAGTGCCTGTAGGTTTCTCTCTTACGGATGAGCAAAGAAAAATTATCTCAGAGCATACAAAAGTTTCAGGAGCAAAAGAGAAAAAAAAACCAAAGTGCTGAAGAAAGACTAATTCTTGTCAGTATGAAATGTAAATCAAAAAATAAAAGAATTTTTCAGTTTTGAACCTTGTTCTTAACAACACACAAAAGGACACTGACTCTAGGAATCAGAGGAAGCCATTATGAGAAAAGAACATATCACAATAAGTAAAGACTACATGAAAATGAAAAACCTAGTAGGAAAATCAGAAATGACACTGGACATGTTCTCATAAGAATCCGTATGTGAATGTTTATAGTGGCTTTATTCATAATTGCCCCAAACTGCAAGCAACCTAGGATGCTTCAAGTGATTAACAGATTAAAAACACTGTGGTACATTCATACAATGGAATAGCACACAGCAATAAAAAGGAATGAACATGAAACAATATGGATGAAACCAAAAATATTGCTAAATGAAAGAAGCCAGACTAAAAGAGCTTGTAGGGGAAGAAAAAAATATTCTTTTCGCTTACCCTCCCAGGTTCTCTGGCTGGGCCCTGTAAATTAGACTAACAAAAGATTTAAAAGAGAAAAGTAAACACATCTGTTTAATAGAAGTGTTATATGATATGGGAGTCTTCATATGGAAACGCAGATGGAAGGAAACAGTTAACCTGGGTGTTTTTATGCTAGGTTTGATAAAGAGTGGGAGGTTGTGAAAAAATGTGACAGGACAAAGCGTATGAGCTAAAAGGGAGTTAGCAAACCAGGGGAAACTTAGCAAGGCCTGTGGAGTTCATTTGGAATCCTCAGCGTTCTTCCGCCTTTGGAGACAGGAATGCCCCTTCCCCCTCCAGGTGCAGGGAGGGCACCTCTCACATGACATGTCTTATGACCTTCTTCAGAGGAAGGTCAGAGAGTCCTTCCTGTACCTGCCATTTCTCAAATTCCTTCAGCTTAAAATATTCAATATGCAATGTGCCATATTTTGGGGTGGTGTGTTCTGAATCCCATCAGGCTACATATCGCATGATTCCATTTATATGATATCTGGAAAGGGCAAAACCAAAGGAAAAGAAAAGAAATTTGTGGTTGCCAGTACTTGCAGCGATAAGAGAGTTTGACTAGAAAGGGAAAAGGAGAAAATTTTGGTACGTGGTGTAACTGTTCTGTATCTTGATTGCAGCAGTGGTTACAATTTCCAAAAAGAGTGCATTTTAAAGTATATGAATAAAAATTATTAACTACTTTGGAGATACAAACAGGAGATTTGAGACTGCATAAAAACAAAGAGTATAGACATGAGATGCACAACCATAATAAAAAAAGGAAGAGAAAGAAAAGCAACATGTTAACAAATATGAAAGACATTTCACAGACAGCCATTTTAGGAATCGCTCAAAGAGGAAAAATAGAAATAATATGGTTGCTTACCTAGAAAGCCCAAAGAATCAACTAAAAAGCTACAAGATTAATAATTAATAGGAAAGGTCAATCAAATGCCTAGTTAAATATAGCCAAGTCAATAGCTTGCCCATGTAAAAGAGATCAAGTTAGAAAACAGAAAGAGTCCATTCACAGAAGAGTGAGATGACAATCAGTTCTCAATAACAAGCATACAGAATTCAGAATGAAAAATGAAAGTTTATCAATTTATATATCACATATACAAAATATATGCTATGATTATATATGGCAAAGAGGGATTCATAAATCAAAGGTGAAAGCAAAGTCTGTTTTCAGTGTTTCTTGGAGTGTAGTCCCAGACCAGCAACATCATATTATCTTGGAACCTGACAGAAATGCAAATTCTCAAGCTCTACTCCAGACCTACTGAATCGCAGACTCTGAGGATGGGGTCCAGCAATCTTTGTTTTTAATAAGCCAGCCAAGCGACTGTGCTGTTCCTTAATGTTTGAGAACCAAGATGCCAATGCTGTTGGTTTGGGGATCACACTTAGAGATGTCAATAGTCTGTTTAATGAATAGTAATGGGAGAAAAGCTTAATCACATGGAAGGATACTGTATTAGATCACATATGTATTAAGCTCCAGGTAACAGAGTTGGTGGGTTTGTGGGAAAGGAAGATGCCTGGATGACTTCCCTAATCTTCAGAGCCGATGGTCCCTTGCCAAAAACAAAGCAAAAACCCAACACATTCAAGCCATCTGTAAATTTTCTTTCACTTGCTGAGTTGCTTAACTGTGCATGAACCAATAATAAGAAATTTTATAATCTTTTCTTAGCCTAATGGAAACTTATTTAGCAACCCTCCCCACCCCTTTATAACATGTCAATTATCTGACTTTTAGATAATCAACTGTCAAATATGTTCTCAGACCCACATTATATATGAATTCAGGAGGCTTTATGTATACAGTATAAGATACAGGCCATAGAGAAATTTATAAATCACAAAAAAGAACAGTATTATGATATATGGTGGCATTTTACTTATATATTTAAATATTATAATAACTTAAAGAATGTAGTTTCTTGGCCAGGCGCGGTGGCTCACGCCTGTAATCTCAGCACTTTGGGAGGCCGAGGTGGGCGGATCATGAGGTCAGAAGATCAAGACACTCCTGGCCAACATGGTGAAACCCTGTCCCTACTAAAAAATACAAAAATTAGCTGGGCATGGTGGTGCGTGCCTGTAGTCCCAGCTACTCAGGAAGCTGAGGCTGGGGAATAGCTTGAACCCAGGAGGTGGAGGTTTCAGTGAGCCAAGATTGTGCCACTGCACTCCAGCCTGGAAACAGAGAGAGATTCCATCTCGAAAAAAAGCAAAAAAAAATGTAGTTTCTTTGATGGAATAAAAAAAGTAATACCAGCTATGTAGAGCTTACTTACGATTATCTCGCATTCCCACTCTAAGCATTCCGAAGCCTGTAGCTAATTTCTTTCTATTGATGCATGAGGAAATTACTTATATAATTCTAAAGAGTAAAATATGTCCCTCACTGCTTCTCTAGGTGTGATATGGAAGACACAGAATTTGTTCATAAAAAGTTTTTAAATCACTCAATTATTAAAGCCCCAACCTCTAAGAGAATTAAAACTACTATCTTGATAAATAAAACACAGTCTTCTCACAGGAAGACAAGGGCAAGAAAATGACAGACAAAATTCATACCATAGTTTAAAAATGGACAGTCAGAGTGAACCTTTAATTGACTGCAAGAAAAGGCTCTGCTTTCAAAACTTGGTAAGCTTCCTGTTTGGGAGATTGGATTCCCTCACTCAGCATCACTCCGAGGTGTGGGCAGCAAACAGCAGGGGTCACCACACAGAATAGGAACCAGAAGTGTGGGAATCAGGGATAATTTTTAGAACCAAAGAGGTCAGAAAAGTCAGAGGAGAGCACAAGTGAGAAATGCAGGAAATCCAGCAAGGACAGGAAAGAAATTGCCAATATCAAGTGACAAAGGAGAACAAGGTTTAAATTCCAGACTAGCAGGCAGAGACAACAGTCAGCCTGACCCCAGGATACAACACATATTTGCTTCCTGAATGAATCTTTGAATCTCTAGTTCTTCATCTATAAAAGTGGAAATAATGATAATCCAAAAAGGTTGTATTGAAAAGTTAAACAACATAAAAACTGTTGAAGTGACTATTACATAACAGGCGGGAGATATTATATATTGAGAGTGGTTTTTTAACCATCTGAGAGCAGTGCTGAAACCAGCAGGTGTACTCTACTCCTCCTGACCAGGGAAGACCAAGACTTCAAAACTAACTAGAGACTCTTACTGCCTCTTCCTCACTCTACCAAAGTGGCTTTGCCCCTTTGGGGCAGCCTGACTTTGTCACTGGTACTAGAGGTTTTGTGGGTTCTCTACAGAAATGCAAAGAGTCCACCTGTACATCAGTCCTAGGGACTAGGCAGGTATTTCTATATCCTTTTGGTACAATCACCAATGGGGAATACTTCTTTTATTTATTTATTATTTTTTTCTTTTTTTTTTAATGAGATAGAATCTTGCTCTGTCACCCAGGCTGGAGTGCAATGGTGCGATCTCGGCTCACTGCAACCTCTGCCTCTCAGGTTCAAGTGATTCTCCTGCCTCAGCCTCCCGAGTAGCTGGGATTACAGGCGCCCGCCACCATGCCTGACTAATTTTTGTATTTTTAGTATAGAGAGGGTTTCACCATGTTGGCCAGGCTGGTCTTGAACCCCTGACCTCAGGTGATCCGCCCACGTTGGCCTCGCAAAGTGCTGGGATTACAGGCGTGAGCCACCATGCCCTGCCGAAGGGGGATATTTCTTTAAAATCTGATAGAGTTGCTATGGTTAGCTATTTATTTATTTATGAGACAGAGTCTTGCTCTGTCACCCAGGCTGGAGTGCAGTGGCATGATCTCAGCTCACTGCAACCTCCGCCCACTCCCCGAGTTCAAGCGCCTCAGCCTCCTGAATAGCTGGGATTACAGGCATGCATCACCACACCCGGCTAATTTTTTATGTTTTTGGTAGACACGGGGTTTCACCATGTTGGCCAGGCTGGTCTTGAACTCCTGATCTCAAGTGATCCGCCGGCCTCCGCCCCTCAAAGTGCTGGGATTACAGGCGTGAGCCACTGCACCTGGCCGCTAAGGTTGGCTTTAAAGATTTACTGATTTACTTAACACTTGAAGGAGTTCAGGACAATAATACCGCATGTAGGAAAAAAGGCAGGGTAGGTTCTGTGACAGGTAAGCAAAGCCTATGGGCGAGGGGAGAGAGGAGCTTATTAGGTACGAACAGATAAGAAATTCGATCTTGTTGTTCCCAGTTACTATCTAAAGCCTGGGTCTCCACTCCATTCCACCAGCAAAATTTTACTGAGAATCTGTATGTATGAGACACTTAATGGTATACAGATAAAATCATCTTACAGTCTAGTAGGGGCGACAAGACATAACACAAATAAGTATAATACAAAGTGCAAAACAGTAAAATACCATTAAATACCACAGTATTGCCAAGAAGGAAGAAATTCCTCCTGGTAGGAGAAATTAGAGCAAGTTTCAAAACTAATGTGGTAATTTTGAGCTCATCCTGAACGAAAGAAATAGGGTCAGCAAAGACCCATCATCTTTGTAGGAAAGCTTGAGACACATACGGAAAAGTATAAGTAAGTGCATTTGACAGGAGCAGCAGGAAGTGGGGTGGTTAGGGCTAAGGCTAGAAATAGAGACCACAGATGGCCAAAATTCCCAGCCTAAGGGGCTAGGATTATAACCATACAAAGCCAACTACAGACATTTTAAGCAGTCAAGGGCCAAGTCAAAACAGGATAAGAGGTTCTGCTTCTAGGAGAAGGAGGACATAATTCAGAGCTACCCTAATGCACAAGTTTAAAACAAGGACTAAGTCATGAGTCATGTGTGCATGAGTAAGAGTAAGAAATGAACACAGAACTAATTTCGGGTCACAAACAAGTTTTCTGAGTTCATACTGAACTACAGCTGAGGAAGCAGAGTCAAGGGCCAGCTGCGGTAATACACAGTGAGTCACTAGTAAATCAGTGACACAGGTCTCAGCCCCAGGGCAGTGACCTCAGACTGGCCCGCATAATGGTCAGATAGGTATACCTTGGTCCTAGTCAGCCTGTGAGGACACCTGAAGTTTCTGTGAAAACAGGAACAGGACAGCAAGTTTGGACAAAGTGAGGATCTGAAAACTCCAAGGATACTTTCAAGATATTAGGCTAAAAATCCCTAAATCTCATCAGATATTAGATGGCAAAGACTTGTAGATGACGTTCACAAATCTGTCCAGGTCAGAATCACCATGCTTATTTAACAGTTGAGGTGTTTTCATATCCCTCAGTCGTAATTGCTATTATGAACATATTTTTTGTAAAGTGCTCCACATTTTACAACACTGCCTGCAGGAATGCTTCCCTAACCACAAAAGTCTTTCCCATCACAATGTAAATGCTTATTGATTCCACCGTATTCACAGCAGTCTACAGCATCCTCCATTTAGAATATAAGCTTCAGAAGGCCAGAATTGGAACCATCATCACCAGACCTTCCAATACACAGCACATACTATGTGTTAAATAAAAGTGTTGATTGAACAAGTGTATTGACTTTTTAGCTGGTTCTAGTTAGCATTTAAATTTATAATATGTAGAAGACTAATTTGTAATAAAAAGACTGACAATAAAAAGTAAGAGAGGAGATAGGTAGCTCTGTGTGTACGTGTGTGTGTGTATATCATAAAGGAATTAGCCAACCTTTTAACTAGTTGTTTTTCATTAATTAAAGGCACTAAAGCAAATACTCAAAAGAAAACTATCCTCACCAATGTGAGGAAAGAAAACAAAATGTTTAATGATTACACACTGAATTCTACGCCTGCCTGTTACAAGTGGCTAAGAAGCAACAGAATTTGCATTCATATCTAGGTCTGCCTGACTTCAAAATTCATATTCTTTCCAAGAAATCCCTGTCTCCTGCATGCTCAAAATAAAAGTTTTAGGAATAAAAAAGTACACAAAGAAAAAATATTAACGAATTTAATCCTTAGAATGAAGCATTAATCCCATCAATGCACAAATGCTGTCATTTTGCCTAAAATATGTCCACTACATAAGAGACAATTGCCAAAGAAGGTTTTGGGGATTTTTTCCTCCAAGGCTGACTCCACACTCAACAGTAGTGGCACCCTGAATGTCCTGTCATGTTAGCAGCAAGCAGTAGTAATCTATCCTCCGCATTTGTACTGACGGCATCTTTAGAGAAAGTACACCCTTACATCCTGCCCCAAGTGAAAGAATCTGCTGCTTAAAGTTGCAGTGACTTTTCTAATCCCCAGTCCAGCTCTGCCAGTTTTAAACTACAGGTTCTTATATTTATCAGCAGAAACCCACCAGGGTGCTCAGATCCTGAGTCAGCTTCAAAAACCCCAGCAGCAGCTGGTAAAAATGGAATGCTAATTCATTACAGATGGTAAAACACTGCCTACATTTTAATTTATTTACATTTTCAGAAATTTTGAATCTGCAGTTAGATTGCCAAATTATTTTAACATGTAAGTTTAGCCTTTTTCAATTCGGTCTGTGCTTAATAAAAATTAATGTTTATCTGTTAAAAATTCTTTCAACAAGCCCAATTAGTCCTATGTTCCCACAGTTTATATTTTTAAAGCTATTTAAGCTAGTAAGCCTTTTTTTCAATTTCTTATTATACAAATCACACACAGAGTCAGGACAAAACTGGGTCTAAATCATACCAAAATGTTTCAAATAGATCTATTATATATGAGGATAATTTTCAGTAGCTTTGTATTTTCCACAATTGCCATGTTTAGTAATGTGAAACTAATAAATTAATAAATTGTAAGATTATTAAATAGCTTTACAGACCCTATTTTTTTTCATTAGTGAAGGTAATAGAGACAGAGAACACATTATTACTTAATTTTTAAAAGCCAAGGGAACAGAGAAAGGATATACCCAAATTAAATGCTTACAGCGCTGCTGCCCTCTCCTGGAATCAATCTTCCAACCCCCCTCCCCACATCTCAGAGACAATGGTGAACATGAAATATTATAACTGTACATACTGAAACATTTTATAAGAGTGGGAAGCACTATTTTTTTTCTTTTATCAATTCAAAGGTCTACAAAGATACAGAATGATCAAGTCATATGTAACCATCTCTTCAAATGCTCAGTGCTTACTTGGAAGCATGTCTTGCCACCTACTTATCAAAAGGGCTAGACTTTTTTTTTTTTTTTTTTTTTTTTTTGAGACGGAGTCTCGCTCTGTCGCCCAGGCCGGACTGCGGACTGCAGTGGCGCAATCTCGGCTCACTGCAAGCTCCGCTTCCCGGGTTCACGCCATTCTCCTGCCTCAGCCTCCCGAGTAGCTGGGACTACAGGCGCCTGCCACCGCGCCCGGCTAATTTTTTGTATTTTTAGTAGAGACGGGGTTTCACCTTGTTAGACAGGATGGTCTCGATCTCCTGACCTCATGATCCACCCGCCTCGGCCTCCCAAAGTGCTGGGATTACAGGCGTGAGCCACCGCGCCGGCCTGCTAGACATTATTTATTCTGAAACTCTTTAACCCTCCTCCCATCAGTTCAAAATATCTCAAGTTTTTTGACACAACCTCTCTTTGCTCCTTCTTGTATCAGAGTAGGAATGTCCCTAATCTTTTGTTTGTCTAACATTACCTTCCTTTCCCATCTCTTCTGAAGTCGCCCTCTCATCTATTAAGATGCCTCTTTTCAGGAATATTAAAATATTGTGGCCTGGCACGGTGGCTCATGTCTGTAATCCCAGCACTTTGGGAGGCCAAGGTAGGCGGATCACTTGATGCCCGGAGTTCGAGACCAGCCTGACCAACATGGTGAAACCCCATCTCCACTAAAAATACAGAAAATCAGCTGGGTGTGGTGGCTTATGCCTGTAATCCCAGCTCCGCAAGAGAATCGCTTGAACCTGGAGGCGGAGGTTGCAGTGAGCCAAGATCACACCACTGCACTCCAGCCTCGGTTACAGAGTGAGACTCCATCTCAAAAAAAGTTTAAAAATAAACAAACAAACAAACAAATAAATAAAATAAAAATACAAAAAAAAATTAGCCAGGCGTGGTGGCGGGCACCTGTAATCACACCTACTTGGAAGGCTGAGGCAGGAGAATCGCCTGAACCCAGGAGGCGGAAGTTGCAATGGGCTGAGATCACACCACTCTATCATCCAGCCTGGACGACAGGGCGAGACTCCATCTCAAAAAAAAAACAAACAAACAAACAAAAAAACTTGCTATTTCCTTGTTCCTTTTCATCTAGAAACATGGATAAATAGCCCCCAATGTAAAAATGCCATTTCCTCCATACAATTTCATCATCTACCATACCATTTCCATTGTTTCCATGGTTGAGGGCACCAAAGAGTAGCTTTTATGGGGCTTTAGCCATCTCCCCCTAACTCTACCTCTAACCCCAATTATTTACTTCTATATCCCAGGCCCAACGTCCTTCAAGCCAGTACAAACAAACATAATTCTAAGTAAAATCAGGCTGCTTGTTTTAAACCCACAGCTCCCCCATCTGGGACTGCCACCCTTAAGCACCTTCCACACAGAATTCCGGACCTGCCCTACTACTCCTTAACCTCCAAATGTTAGCTACTTCGATTCTTTCACCTCCCCTTAGCAACTCGATGCACTGCAATCCAATTTTTTTGCAATCACTCACTAGGACCTCTTGGAAGTTAAGAGAAACCTGGTCTCTTAGATTTCTTAAGGCTCAAAGAATATTAAAAATTAAGCAAGGTTACAAAAATTGTAACATGAAACAAAGCACTGCCTTTTAAAACACCCACGGAAATAAATACAATGTGTGGGGGCCTTGGTGGATGTGAGGGTGGGACAATGGCCCTCCTGCAAGTATCTCTAATGGCCCCTATTCTAAATACTGATTATCAGCACTTATTGGGAACAACAGAGTGATCAAGATCATGGGCCACAGAACTACCGCTTCCTGGCTATGTAAATTTGAGGAAATTGTTTAACTTCTTTGTGATTCTGTGTCTCATTTGTAAAATAGGAAAATTACATACATACTCAGTAAGGTTCTTATGTGATCGTGATTATAAATATAATCACAATGTCTGGCATGTAAGAAGTCCTCAATATATATCAGCTACCATAATCATTATTTATTATCTGCATCACCTGAGAGTTTATAAATGCATACTTCCAGGTCCTGCCCTAGTCTTAGAGACCTATGACAAAGAGTTCCCAAATCTACATTTTTGATAAGCTTCCTAGGTAATTCTTATCACACTAAAGACTGAGAACAACTAATCTATTGAAATGCTCTCTTAAGTTCCTAACTGCCACATCAATGATCTCTTAAACATCGTCTTATTCATCATCTCTTGCCCCTCATGTCCCCTCTTCAGCTTTTACTCCAATTTTTGACTCTCAAAATTTCATTTGAACTTGAATTTTTAAACGGAGCCACAGATAAGAATTTGGAACGGGCAGCTGTATTTGTCTACAAATAAAGACAACACTACACTGAGCTCAAGATTAAAATTACCCTTCCCTATAAGACATGCTGCTCCTTTTTTGATCTCTAGTTCCATTACCGACACAACCCTTTTCAACCACTCAGGCTACAATCCTTGGTCATTTGTGACTGCGTTCTTTTCCAAATTCTCGAGTTTTTCAAAATCTGTATTCTAAAATATCCTTTGGTTCTAACCCATCCTTTCCAATAACCACTGCCAAAGTTTAAGACTCCCACCTGGAACATTTTAACAGTCCTTAATAATCTTTCGTCTCCAATGTCTTCCCTTTTCACACCATCCTTTATATTACAACTGAATTATCTTCCTACCATGTAGATTTGTTAATATGTTCTCTTTGATTAAAAGGAAAACGAATAGGACACAAGGCTTCAATAATTTCACCCCTCCAGAATTGTATCCACCCAGCTATTCAGACTGCAGAGTGTTCTCTGACTGAAATATGCATGCCCATTTCTTTCAGCATTTGCTCATATTATTTCTCCAGACTAGAATGGGAATGTCTTTTTCCATATAACTCTATCATCTTCTAAACCCAATGTGTTCTTTGAAACCCAACTTAAGGTCACCTCCTCTATAATCCTGTACCATCTTGAAAGCCCAAATTAATCTTTCTCTACACACTGATGACCCTTGCTAGGATGTTGTTTACTTAGTTCTGAGTATAATTTTGATAATCAAAGCTATAAGAATAAATTAACCTTTAAAAGAGATAATCAGGAAATAGAAAAATAAACTTTTTAGGGATAATTAGGAAAAGTAGGCTTATTCAGAGTAATAATGAATTATTTTCACACACGTTTTCATTTATTCATATTGCTGTTCTAAAATATACATTTTTAAATTAAAATATGTTCAATAATACAAGTTGTTGGTTATGTTTTTAAACATGATATTTTTTGTGTGGCTACTCCCTTCTATATTAAAGATATCTAGAACTATGCAGCTACAATCTCTAAGGAACTTGCTTGAGTCTTTTCTGTTGCTCTATGTTGGGGCAAAATAACTTCAAGATTTTAGTTTGGCCATCTACTCAAGATTGGGCCAAATTAGTTGCAAATTCCAAGCCTATTGTGTTCTTAAGCATTCCTTGTTCACAGGTAAGGAGACATATATATTGTTTGTAAACTAATTGAAGGTTATAGAGCTATGACACCTAGATTCAACAGGGAATGATGTTAATTTCATGGAAAGTTTGGATTCTAGTTCAGACAAAATAGTACATGCATTTAAAATCATCATCAAATAAGAAGGAACTACTTAGCACCAATTTCTAAGACATGGTTAATCTTCTAGAAGGGGGCTGAGAGAGGTAACCTTGAAGGATCTATCAACTAGAGGTCTTGGTCAAGGGCCAAGACAGCACAAACCTTCTGGCCTAATCATTTTTGGATTATTTTCTTGGTGTTGCTAAGCGCTTTTATTAATTTTTGTCGTTGTTGTTGTTTATATCTTCATTAAGAAAGCTATTTGAGACTGAACAGACTAAGAGAGTGGGAAGAGACCGAACTTGGGTGCAAAAAATAAAAATAAAAAATCATAACTTCGTTTTCATTTATTTCTTGCCAAAATTTACCAATTCTACAACTGTGAATGTAGGCAACAAGTTATAGCTATTTGTAGTGGCTGTGATTTCACCCATGAGAAATTATAAAAATTTGCATATCATATTACAATTATTTCAGGTATCTTGAAATATACAATACTTTGAAATTATGGTAATTATTAGACACACAGCTGCATCTTATTCAGCTTATTGATAAAGAAGCACATATATCACGAAAATGTTCATGTACTGATAACGCTATTTCAATATAACTTGCTTTCTTTTAATCCTATGAATTTTATTTTACACATTTAAAAATATCATCATGAGAAGGGATCCACAGGTACTTCTCCTAATTGGTTAATGCCACTCAATCAGTTAGCATTACTTGTGTGCAATAAGTACCTTGGAATTGTGTGGGTATGAGGCCACCCTTGCCCTTGAGGAATGCGCAGTATTAGTAAATATAACAACTTACTCTTGGATTTTTCCTGGGTAATGATTTCTTTGAAGATAATTTAAATATGAGTTTATGGGTTCTTGATCATTTTTATGCTATGGATCTTTTGTTGGTAAATGTGCACCATAACAGTCCTGACCATCTACTGAGTGCTCATGCTCAATCATTATGATGATTTCTCACAATTTATGCAAGGCAAAGAATTATTATTTACATGTTGAAACAATTGACACTTTCAATTTCAATTGACAATTTCAAAGGTTAAATTATTTGCCCAAAGTCATATACCTGGCTAGTGGCCAAGCCAGGATTCAACAGTGTAATCTCACTACCCAGGCTCTTCCTATACTCACAGCCTGTAAAGAAACAGATGACAGAGCAAATGTCTACTGAATGTATGAGGGGAAAAAAATGCTGATATTTTAATGCTTTGAAAACAAACAAGTAAACGTCAGGAAAGAAGGAAAGTACTGCTGGTATGCTTTCTATCATCACAGTGTATATTAAGTAATAATCAAGTAAATTCCCAAGATGTAACTTAAAAGGAGTTTTCAACCAACTCTTGTTGCTGCCCTAATGAGTTTCTAGAAATATAATAGGAGAAAAATAAGATACATTTTGTTAACCTCTTATAGTAGGGTTATTCAAAGTAAATGGGGAAAAAAGTTAGTTGGGCATTTTAAAGTACTAAAGTAGCTTATAAATCTATCCTCTCATGAAGCCTGCAGTATCTGGACAATAGGTTGGAAATGAGTGATGGGAAATTCAGATGGCAGCAGCGTCACTGACAGAACAGCTCTCCACATCTTTGTGGCACTACACTGACAAACACTGACCTCAAGGGCATCACAGGGAGCATTCATGTAGTGTTTGGAAGAAGCGAATAGGTTTTTCTCTCGTTTTCCATTTTTGGAACATTCATGGAAATAAAATGACAAAATGCACGGGGATTCTCTAAGTGGAACATTTTAATGGGGACATTTCTATTATTTATAGAAAGGTGTTCAAGCACTCAGACCATATAAATGTTATATTTGTACTTATTAAAGAAATCGTGAAATCACTAATGTCAGTTACCTACAATCACAGATGCTAGATCGTCTTATTTTGATACACTGCACCCCGTTATAAATTATACAGCATTAAAAAATCAGCCATCAGATGCTACTTCATTGTGACTATTTGTGTTATATGAATATATACTATGGATCTTTAAAAATGTTTCATGATATTAATATTCATATTGATAAGGAAATCAACCATATATGACCTACTAATATTATGCTAGAAATCTTATTTTTAATGTTATGTGAAAGCATTCGTATAAAATTAATTTGGCAAGTTTTAAGAATTTTACTTCCTTACACAATATATAACCTCAAATACTATTTTTTTGTTTTTAGCCATTTTACCCATTCTTAACTGTGCATTCAGTGGAGTTTAGTATGTTTATACTGCTGGGCAACCATCACTGTACTTTCTTATTCTGAAGCTTCACTAATAAACAAGTTTTTGTTATATTTGAGACAAAAACTACATCGGCCTGTAGAAATAAAACACACACGTTAAAAAATGACCAAGGAAAATGCAATGTGGTTTACTATTTACTCTTTAAATTATACTTTTATTTATAAATTATTCTGAAGAACAAAGTTCATTTGGCTAATTTAAATCAAACAAATACTCTATTTTAATTTAAATAACTACAAGAGTGGTAAATGGTTTAGAATCAGATGGTCATGTGAATGTTACTAGGGACAGTTAGCTTTACTTAAAAAGAAAATCAATTAGATGATTTGTTTTAATATATCTCACATGGCCGAGATTGTGAATTACATCATATCAATACCACTGTTGAGAGCAACTCCCAACTAAAATGAGATGAGATACTGAACAGATGAAGTGCTGTTCAAAGTCAATGTAGCCCAGACTTAGGGGACAGAAGAATTAATGAGAAAATGAGAATCTACCAGATGGTGCTGCAGTATTCCTCGCTGCACATCCGCCACCTCAAGCAGCTTCTATACATGCAAAGCCCCAGGGCCCCACCTGGTAGCAGCATAATTACCCTAAATGTGCACTTATGTTTCATTACACCTTGGCCATTACTATGTGCACTGATTACAAGTATCAATCCCTTTCATTTTCATACACCTCTGCAGTTCCATAGCATTCAACTGTGAAAACTCAGCACTCTAGTCACTTCTAACACACGGCCCATGCTGATAAAACCGCAGAGGGTAAATTATTTGTCACTCTGCAGGGTGCCAATTCAGTTTGATAAGGATGACATCATGCCCATTTTACCAATAACAATGGCACTAACAAGAACGTGTAATCAACAAACCTCGGTCCTCCGCTAGCCCTGGCAGGTGCAACTCTTTTTATGCTAAAAATAAGCCAACATTAGCTTCCAGCTCAAAACTATTTCTTTTATCACAATGCTAAGCAGAAGTTGGCTTCCATAAGGCACTGCAGCTGCTGCTGCCACGGCCGCTTCTGCAGATGCCTGCATTAATTGTATCAAGGACATACTGAAATAAGTGCTTATTCAGCACAATGGCTATTGGGGAGCAGCTGGAAGCACAAGGCAAACTGTCTTGAAGAGAATGTACCAACCTAGTGTGTAAATTACAATGATGAAGTACAAAGAGAGTCTAAGTTTAAGGGTCTATAACTGCAGAACAGCATGAAAATTTAGTGTTATCAATGGAGTCTGGATCAACTAAAAAAGGAGCAGACCCTTTCAGATTTCACCAAAACTACTTTTAGAATGGGGGTGATATTTAGTACCTTTTCTACACGGCAGAAATAGGAAAGTCACCATTAAAAATATCAACAGTGTTGATATTTCCCTTTTTATATGCACAAATTATAATTCTCCTCATGCATGAGTGTATGCCTATGTGTGTCTCTGAACTAATTAAACCGCAATATAAGATTTGTTTATTATACAGAAGTAACACGTAGCTCAAAAGAAAGGACAAATTTGCCTAGCTTTCTTCCTCATTCCCTTAATACCTATTCATGCCCCCTCTATACATCCATATAGATGTACTATATATGGAATACGTACTTTGGCCATTTACCTCCCATTTCCTAACCTCTACATTAGTGAGCAACAATGAATTAATGGTGATTAAAGGCGATTCCAGGTGACAGGTAATTATGAAGCTTTTGATAGTGCTAGTTTGGGTTAGGGATAGGGGAAATTATTCAACAAAGATACTGCTGAAATAAGTGCATCCTTGGAGAGGAATGAAATGTAAAATCAGAGAAACAGGTTAGGACCAGACCATGAAGTCCCATGATTCTGTGTCAGCCTTCACCATGGTCTCTGTGACAACACTTATCCTGTCAGAAGGGGCTAAGAATGACCAAACTCCTCCACTGGTTCTGAAATTGGCCTGAAAACATACTGTGTCTCTAATAATACAACACACCTAATCTGACAGTCGTCTGAAATCTGTTAGATTAGTGATGTCTGGGCTGCAACTATAAAGCAGTTCAGTCATCTAAACTGAACACGATACACTTCAAACATAAATCGTGTTTTTTGAACATTCACAAAATGACTCATGCTGGTGTGAATCACACTTTTTACATGTTAGAAAATGACCAAAAATCAAAATAACCGTTATTTGACAACTGTTCAAATATTAACACAGTAGATCCTTATTGTCTATAAATCTCCAAATTCACAAAGGTCATGCCATTAATAATTAGCTTTCCTTTCGGTGACAATCTTCCATACAGAAACAAAGATCTGGTAATTTACAACTAAAAAATTGTAAGAGATTTACTCTATATTACACTGAGATACAAATGCCGAGATGCTGGCTAAGCTCCCTCATCAAATAAATGACTTGATCCTCCATTTGAGCCTAAGAGTACAAGCTATTCAAACACAAATTGAAGCCTCAGGAAATTCAAATTGCTTCTCTCCACAGACTTTCACGGTATGAAGAAATAGTTAAAAACAGAATGCTTGGTCCTGAATGTTAAGGGTCTACTGTATAAGTCACCAATAAATGTCACATACAGCTTGCTTTAATTTTAGCTTAGTGCAAAAGGAATATTTTATATAAAAAGACAAGGATGGGTTTGTAGAAACATGTCCAAGCATGTTTAGGCAATAGTAACTGTACCTGTAATCTGCATTGGGAACCAATCCCTCGCTGCTTCAGGAATAATTTCCATTTTTATGTAGCATTTCCTAGCAAAACCGTCCTGATGCTAAAATGGTGTTACTGTCACAGTCAAACTATTATGTAGTCAGGAACCCCGTAAAATAACAAGTTATGGTGTATCTTCATACAAAGACACATGGGTGAATTTTTAAATTTCTAACCAATTTAATCACGATGGACACAACTCTAATGATTCTATCCACTAACTCCTGGCCTTAAAATCTGTAAAATAATATCTGTGTGAATATTTGAGGAGTTAGAAAAGATAAATTTTAAAAAGTATAAGAATAAATTTCTGGTGTAAACCACAAAGCAAGATGGCTCTTATGCCCAAATGGGTCTTAATAGTTTTTGTGTCTGAAACAGTTTTTTTTCTGAGTGTATTTGATATTTGACAGATATATTAGCTCTTGAGCATCATTTATCATGTTTATTTCTAATAGGTTTCCCTTAGAACAGCTGCCT
Organism: Homo sapiens; assembly: GCF_000001405.40. NCBI lineage: Eukaryota > Metazoa > Chordata > Mammalia > Primates > Hominidae > Homo > Homo sapiens. Next base: position 20,866,352 of record NC_000006.12, on the reverse strand, counting down.
AAGATGCTAATCTTTTCTTTTTTCTTGGGCCTTTTGTAAATATTTGAAATAGCTATTCATTAACAGTTGCACATTTATTCAGTCCTGTTGTACAGCTTGTGAACTGGCATTAGCTTTTACTTTATTTTTTCTATCTGTTGGCCAGACTAGAGAAACCCTGCTGTTTGGGTTCAATCTGTCAAGGTTCAAATTATCCTCCAACTGAGAGCTAATCAAGGGCGTCTGACCTGGTTTGCAAATAAACTAGAAACAAAAGTAGGTTTATTTTTTCTTTCTTTGGGGCACTGGTTCTCAAAAAGTAAAGCAAAACAAGAGCAGATCACAAATACAATTGCCTAAAATTAAAATCAGGCACACAACTACATTTACTCAGCACTTCTGAAGTACTCGGTTTCCAGCTATAAATCCATTTTTATAGGAATTGGTTTGCAAATAGTTTTCAAATTAAACTTCACAGTTCATTTAATGCAAGCCTGTGGCATGAGGGGCACATAGATTTTAGGCAATCAAGTTACTGTGATGGGTACGCTGGAGACCTAAAGTATCTTCATGGATCCCAAGTCTCAAATTAATGGAAGTATATGTGGCAGAACCAATCTTTCTGCATCATTATCATTACTATATCCATTTTATGCACATTTCTAAAACATGAAATGCAGATTTTTCTTTTATTTTAAATATTTTCAATCTCAAAATTTGATAAGAACAGATTTTTTTTTTTACAATTTCAGCAGAGTTAGTTTTAAATGTACCTTACAGAACTACTTAGTGAATGCACTTAAATGTAGTCTTGTTTACTAATACAAATATTAAAACACTTTTCTCTTAGTATATTAAGGTTCCTAGAGCCTAGAAGTTTTGCTTGGCTCTGATTTTCAGTATTCTGTTGTATTTAACAGGTATTTAATCTTTTTGCAACAGCTATGGACAACGAAACTGAGGTCTGGGGAAATATTGTCAGGGCCACCATTCAAGAGCATTGTGATGGCAATTCCACTAAGGGCTTCTCTCAAAATGATCCAAACTGATGAAATGACCCCAGTTATCATAATAAACTAAATTGCACCTATAGCAACAAATGCATTTGCAATACCAAGTATTTAAGCCCAACATTTTCCCTGAGGAACAGCATGCTATAGTGCAAAGTGCAGAGGCCAATCAATCAGGAAATCTCAATTTTACTACTCTTCTTCAGACTCTAAGCGTAACCTCTCTGTGCTTCAGCAAAACAGAGATAACAAGCACCAGCAGCAATAATTCATGAGGTGAATATAAAGATGAAATGAAAAGCTAGATGTAAAAGTGCAAGGAAAATTATTTGATACACACTTTAGAAAATTTTATTTATATAAGGACCATAAAACGGCAAAATGCCTGAATTGTATTTATAATCACACCTGTGCTCACAGAAAACAATCATTATAAATAAGAAAAGAATAAAAATAAAGAGATAAAATCAGCCATGTGCTATTTATGTTTATCGATGGTAGGATATAATAAATATCATGCAGCATGTACAATAAACTTTTACTTATTTAGGAATGATAATTTTGATTTCTGAAGTCGATGTTTAAGAATACTTAGCAATAGAGTGGTTGACTACATCATAAAATGTCAAGAAATAGCTGATATTCAATTTGAGAAATACCATTTTACCTAAAATACACTGGTCCAAGTTTCCATTTAGTTTTCTCTTTATTTATTCTGAACAAGCCAACCATCATTAAGTAGCACTTTATTTTTTAGCAATTTTATATTTTATGAAGAGAAAAATATATTTGTTTCATAACTTGCTATCAGTCACAGTTAGAAATCACAAATTGCTTCTTCTAATGTTCCAGAATTCATAGTAGAATATGTAAAATGTAAACATCATTTCACTATCAGAAACTCTCCACTTAATAGGCACTTGACAAATGTTTGTTAAATAAACAAATAATAGTAATAACAATTAGGATTAACAGGCACACTAACCTTGGCTAATGTGCTAGAAAAAAACTCAATAATTTGCTTGTATTAACTCAAAGTAAGCTATTTTAAATGTCACCATTTTAAGTCTAGAAACACAATAAAATGCAAAATGTCAGTTGCATTTTAAGTTAAGTAAGTTAAGTTAAGTCAGTTGCAGTTAAGTAAAAACATTACAGATTTTCAAAATTAATGGGGAAAGGGATATTTTTCATGTGACAGCATTACTTATTAATTAATTTAGTTACAGATACATTATTGCTGAAAACATTCAAATGCTGGGCTAATACGGTAAGTGAAATTATTTTAAAATCTTTATTCAATTTATTCTCCAGTTAACATCGTGCCAAGTTTCTCCTAACCTCTCCTCCTTTTTTTACTAAAACAAATTACATAAGTGAATTACATCTCCAAGTCAGTATGACTATAAAATGAAGGTCAGACCATTGCATATAAGTTATTTCAAGTCTGAAAAGCACAGATGTAACCAGAGTGAACAAATATAAATGTAAAAACAATCAAATTTTTCAAAGGAAATGTATTTTCTTTTTAATTCCAGTTTTCTTCAACATTTCATATATAAATGATTCCCTTCATTTCAAATATTACCTAGTTTGGCATTATTTGCTTACATATTACAGTATGGGTATACATTAATATTCATAAAAATATATAGTCTTAACTGTGCCCAATCCATATTATCCTCCTTAAATTACCTCACATCTGTGAACAACCCATTTTTCTCATTACCAATTATGGGTGCTAGTTGGGTATTCCTTCAAAATCCAGCATCCAGACATTTACAGTGCTCATTCTGAGAATGTTCGCTGCTTCCAATTAGTAAGGCAAAAGATGAAGTTTCCATTTTACAGTTCTGAGAATCATAGAGGCATGCATGCATACATTCATTCAAAAAACATTTATTGAACATTAATAGTGATATCAAGATAAGTAAGACCCAAGGGGTCTTTACTGAAGAGGAGGTAGAGGATATAAACATCTAAACAAATCACTTTGTCTAAATCTAGTAAGCACTATTGATGATGTATGAAGAAAAAATTATGTGGTGATTGCAGAACCAATTATGTGGTGCAGAATGAGGAGAGATGATGGCTGAAGAGAACTGAGACCAAAATACAAAGGGCCACAAGCATCATGTCATCCTACAGTCCATTTCTACTCAGTGGGACCCATGCACCAGCAGTATCAGCATTACCTGGGAGCTTAAAAATGCAGACTCTCAGGCCCCATACAAGACCCACCAAAATAAAATTTGCATGTTAACAAAATTCCCAGGGGATCTGTATGCACTTTATAAATATGCATATAGTCCAGTGTTTCCTCTTCTTTTTTTTATTGAAACGGAGTTTTGCTCTTGTTGCCCAGGCTGGAGTGCAATGGCACGATCTCAGCTCACTGCAACCTCTGCCTCCGGGTTCAAGTGATTCTCCTGCCTCAGCCTTCCAAGTAGCTGGGATTACAGGCACCCACCACCACACCTAGCTAATTTTTGTATTTTTAGTAGAGGCGGAGTTTCTCCATGTTGGTCAGGCTGGTCTCGAACTCCTGGCCTCAGGTGATCCACCCACCTCAGCCTCCCAAAGTGCTGGGATTACAGGCATGAGCCACTTTGCCTGGCCTCAGTGTTTCTTCTTAAATGAAGCCCAGGCATAGCTATGTGAGAGTATATGGGTATATGCGCACGCGCGCATGCACGCGCGCACACACACACACACACACACACACACAAGTTGGAAAGAAGACAAGGCAGAAAGAATGTCAACAGTCATTTCTTAGGTGGTGACTTATTTTTTCCTGTTCCTCCTTTCTCCTTGCTCTCTTGTTATATCATTAAGAACAGTAATAATAAGAATTCATTTATTAAGCATTTTCCAAGTATTGCAGACTTAGTATTATACTATTTTAATTTTCAGGTATTTAGTAAGTATGCTTTATCCTTATTTTTACAATGGGAAAACTGAGGTTGGATAAGAGTAAGTAACTTTCTTAAGGTCACAGAGCTAGAAACTATGGAAACAGAATTGAACCTATTCTGGTTTTAATCAAAATGTCATAGTATCACAAGCTTAACTGAATCGCTGCTCTTATTACTCCGTGATATAACGGCTTACATGCTAGGCTGTAAACTGTAAGCCACTTGGCCACTGGCTGTGTGATTTTTAGCTTTCTCTGCACTTAAAAGTTCCTGGTGATATGCCAGTAATTGTTAAAACTATAATCCTAATATTACTACATATTGAGTTTCATGGAAAACATACCTCAATTTATCTAACTAATCTTATGAGTTAAATGTAACGGTATTATAATATTTTACTATTAAAATACATGTCAAAAAGTAACAAAATATGTCTGGCTGCATAACACATCATACAAAAAATAACTGGCTTAAAATAATTCTTCTGCAATCTGGGATAGGCTCAGGTGGGCAGGTCATTTGATCAATGTGGTGGCTGGAACATTCAATATGACTTCTCCATTCACATGTCTGGAGTCACAGCTGGGAAGCTAAAATTTCTGTGGGCTGGCTAAGCATCTCTCTGTCCACATGATATTGCCAATAAGGTAGACAGATCTCCTGACAATGGCGGCTCAGGGCTCCAGCAACATCCCACAAGAACAAGCCCCAGCACACAAGTGCTTATCAAACCTCTGCCTGCATCACACTTTCTAATGTACTGCTAGCCAAAGCAAGACACATGTGCAAGCCAGCTGTCATGGAAAAGTTCTGTCTACACAGAACATGAATCCTGGGAGCTACCAAGTAATAGTCTACCAAGGATTTTTCAAGTTTATCCACTTTTTATAGAGAGAGAAGGAAACAGGAATTGTTGCTTTTCCAAATTTGTTAAATATTTGATTATTTTAAAATATATTTATGAAATATATAAGCAATAATGCAACCTATAAAATCAACTAAAATTAAATATTTAAATAATTTTTATGCCAAAAGTGGGCTTTGCCCATGGCACACATGGCCTCTGAACCCTGAGTCAAATCCAGCACTCCAAGTGGCAAATAACAGAACCCATTCAGTTAATCAGACGGGACCTTCTCCCATTTAATCTTCACATGCTTAGGTTTACGTACGCTTACATTTATGGTTTCACACTCTGGCCTTGATCTCTGAATCAGATCTCTTTGTTTTAATGACATTCTGGGCTACCCTTCTGGTTTGGGACTTTGGGATCCACTGTTATTTCTGAGGTCTGATTATTTGACATATCAGGTGCACAGGCCCATGTGCAAATCCTCTATCAGTCCTGACTCATGAAACATGGCTACTACTCCTACCCCCATCACTGAAGCCTGTCACTTCACTACTGGCAAAGGTATTTAGGGAAAGTTCTTACCCTCCTAATAGGATGAGGTTGTAGAGAACCATTTACATAATTTACGCTTACGCTTTCTCTAAAAAAAAAAAAAAAAAAAATAGACCACACTACGCAGAATGTTTCTAAACAGATCTAAATTCCATAGGATTCTATTAGTTTATAAATTATTTTTATTCATGTATTCATTCAGCAAGTATTTTTTTTTTTTGTAGATGGAGTCTCGCTCTGTTGCCAGGCTGGAGTGCAGTGGTGCGATCTCATCTCCCTGCAACCTCCACCTCCTGGGTTCAAGCAATTCTCCTGCCTCAGTCTCCTGAGTAGCTGGGACTACAGGTGCGTGCCACCACGCCCAGCTAATTTTTGTATTTTTAGTAGGGAAGGGGTTTCACCATGTTGGCCACGATGGTCTCGATCTCTTGATCTCGTGATCTGCCCCCACTTGGCCTCCCAAAGGGCTGTGATTACAGGCGTGAGCCACCGTGCCCAGCCCAGCAAGTATTTATTATGGGCCTACTCTATGCCCTATGCTATGCCAAGCTCTAGTAATGCAATGATGAATAACAAAGGTATTCTCACTTACTTCTCAGAACAGACAATAAATAAATGAATAAACAGATAAATGAATACAAAGTACAAATTATGATAAATGCTTTGGCTGAGCCAAGTGGCTCATGCCTGTAATCCCAGCACTTTGGGAGGCTGAGGCAGGCGGATCACCTGAGGTCAGGAGTTTTAGACCAGCCTGGCCAACATGGTGAAACCCCATCACTACTAAAAATACAAAAAATTAGCCAGGCGTGGTGGCAGGCACCTGTAATCCCAGCTACTCAGTAGGCTGAGGCAGGAGAATAGCTTGAACCCGGGAGGCGAAGGTTGCAGTGAGTTGAGATCACACCACTGCACTCCAGCCTGGGCAACAAAGCGAGACTCCATCTCAAAAGAAAAGAAAAAAAGAATTATGATAAATGCTTTGAAACAAATAAACAGAGTGATATGATAGAGAATAAGAGAAAAAATGTTCCCTTCAAAAAGGTGGTCAAAGAAGGGCCTTATGAGGAGGTGATATTTAAGTGGACACTTTAATGTGAAAAAGACAGCCATGCAAAGACCACAGGAAAAACCACTCAAGGAAAAGGAAATTGCTATATTCAAGGAACTAAGAAACAACAGTTGGATGCTAGCAAGTTAGAGAAAGTGCAACAGGATGAATCTGGAATGGAAAGTGCAGCCAGATCACATGGGATCTCATGGGCTTTGATGAAAAGTTGAACCGTATTCCTCTTCAAAGGCAGAACACTTCTGGCCCTACTCAAGTTCTTTCTCTTCTAAGAAGCCACTGCTTAATCTTCTAGTCCAAAACTTCTCTTTCTGTAAACTCTCATACTCACCATCATTTTTTTCCTCCCATATTCTTTGAATTGTCTTTCCAAAAAGATATTACCAATGCTATCACTGTTAGAGCTGAAGAAGCCACAGTGTAGTGGTGACAGAACTGGCATTGGGTGACAGCAGCTTGGGGAGTCACCTCTCTGTAGGCTTCATGTTCCTCAGCTGGAAATGAAGGGCAAGGGAAGTAACTGCAAAGGCTTCCTCCTATTCCGCAGTTCTTTTACGTATTCATAGATTTGTAGTTAAGACCATAGAGTCAGGCAGGAAATGGAAGAGGGAAAGCCAGGTGGCTTCCAGATTTCCCCTGAAGCAGATCTTCATAACACCATTTTTTTTCTTTTTTTTTTAAGTTTTTTATTTTTTCTGAGTCAGGATCTCACTTTGTCACCCAGGCTGGAGTGCAGCGAACACCATTTATTTGTTAAAAGAAAATTTTCAGAATATTAGGCTACCACATGATCAAAGAGAATCCATGAACTTCAAAGTTAATCTATAAATTTTAGTTTATCAAATGTTTCAAATAGTCAAATTTCTATTTTTATAGCTTAGTCAAGTAACAAAAAGTGACTCATTAAAAAAAGATACATATGTGATTTAATTTCCTATACTAAAAAATGGATAATATGCAATTCTTTAAAAATAAATTTTATTTTGTTTATGTAGTCTAACTACAGTGATATATGTACTTATGAAAAATATAGAAAATATTAAACTAGCAAAAATGTTTAATATACTCTTTGTCCCCAAGAAAAGTAACATTTTGGCATAATTTCTCCTTTTTTTCTGTTTTTAATTTTTATTTTTACTTCCTTTTAAAAGTAATTGTGATCATACATTACATACATTACATTTCTTAAAAATCAACATTATAAGACATTTTCTGAGTTATTATCAACTTTGTAAACATTATTACATGCAATTTTATAACACTCCATCATGTAAATGTATCAAAATGAAGCACTGTCCATACTGGAAGAACTGCAGATTCCTACTACAATTCAGATTTAGCACTTCTTCTCAAATAAAGAGAAATAAGCAAAGATATACCTTGTCTCAAGGAAATAAAGTTATCTTCCAAAACTACACAAATTTATATATTACTATATATCTATAAAACCAAATAAGCTAATTACTTCATTCATGTTGATAAAAAATGAAGAATTATTTTCACATTACAGGCGTATCAGTTTTATTAAGACATGGATAAGGAAGTTCAAGGTCCCTTTCTTCTTCTAATTATATACAGTGTGATATTTTGCTTTGAAAGGCTCATCTCAAACTGTACCAAAATATTGATACATAAACAGGAAAAAAAAAAGTCAATACAGAATAAAAAGAGCTAAATTCCAGAAAAAATCTAGGCTACTGATTCCCAAACTTACAGAGCTTTAAAAATAAACATTCCCAGGCTTGTAAGCCTAGCTCAGTATCAAAATCTTTTGAGGTAGAGCCTGGAAATCTGTATTTTAAAATTCCCCAGAAGAGGACGGGCACAGTAGCTCACGCCTGTAATCCCAGCACTTTGGGAGGCCGAGGTGGGCAGATCACTTGAGGTCAGGAATTCGAGACCAGCCTGGCCAACAGGGTAAAAACCCATCTCTACTAAAAATATACAAATTAGCCAGGGTCGTGGCATGCGCCTGTAATCCCAGTTACTCGAGAGACTGAGGCAGGAGAATCACTTGAACCCGGGAGGAAGAGGTTGCAGTGAGCCAAGATCGCGCCACTGCACTCCAGCCTGGGCGACAGAGCGAGACTTCATCTCAAAAAAGAAATTCCCCAAAAAGAATCTGAAGAAAGGTCTGGTGTGGGAGGAATGGAGCTGGGGCCTATATCTATCACAGAGAGAAAACTGGCCCAGATTTTTATTAGCTCACATAAATGGTACATTTCTTCCCCAATCCTCTTTACTACTTTGATCAAATGTTTTGGTATACGTAATTAAGAAAGTTCTCTAGACAAACATTTCTAGAAGTGATCTTTGTATCATCTGCCTCCCAAACATTTGAAATGATTGTTTTGAAAAATGCAAATTCCTGGGCCTATGGCAAGGCTACTGAATTGGGAATGTGGCCAGATATTTGCATTTCAAACATATACCTCAATAAGTGCCAATGACCTCAATAACTGCCAGCTCCAGAGGTTATTCTCAAAGATGGAGGTGTTTAAAATCTACTTTTATAAATGATTACTATCTCATCATCATTCCTCTTCCTTAACTAAAAGTCAACAAATCAGAAAGATCTATGTGGACTGTATGATCACAGAATCATTCATTCCTTATTCATTCCTTGTTTCATCAATTCTTTCTCATTCTTACCCAATTATATTGTCACAGGTTAAAAACTCTTACCACCCAGGTTTCCCTCTTGTTCACACTACCAGAAATGATTAACTAAGAGGACGTATTTTTAAAAGTCAGCAATCTAAATCAAACTTCTCTTTCTTATATTACAAATAACAAGAAATGTGTTGGAACTCACCACGAGAAATAAAAAGCATGACTGAGAACAACAAATAAAAAGAAATACAGAAACGTATAACCTCTGCAGAACAGCCAAGGTCCCACTAACAAACATTTCTTTTTCCAGGCAGGAAATTTTGCTCGCCTTACCTGATATTGTGCAAGTATGTTTACTGCAGTTTAATATCCACACAAGCAGGAGAAGAAATTTAATAATTTTTCAACTGGAATGAATTGACAGCCAGTGTTAGAAAACTGCAGACTCTGCGGAATCAATAAAGGCTGCTGGCATCACAAAGTAGTACTTTTGCCCAGAAAATATCTCACAAAGGTCGGGTTTACAAACCACCAGGTAGCAGTATCACTTTCACATCTTTCCAAGGCTATTAAAATTCCATTAAACAACCTTCCAAAACCAACTTGCAGCCTTTAAAGTTCTCCAACATCATCCCAGAGACAGATCAGCCTCAGCTCAAATGGTAAACGCAAACATTTGGTTAACTCTTGTACCTGGTCACAAGAATCATTTGTAGAATTTTGTTTAGTAAAGGTATCAAAGCAAATATATATTACTTATAACTGTAAGTGTGGAACTAGGTGGACATACCCCTTTGGTAAAACGTTAGATACCCATTAACTATCAGATGATTTCCCAAAGTAAATTATTTCTCTGTTGTAAATCTTGGAAAGCCACCACCTCTACATATCTGGTGTTATAAAATCAAGCCCATGTCATAAGACACAGCATTCAATTGTGCTGGAACAGCAGCTGAAACTAAGCAATATCTCTTGCCCACTTAAAAAGTATGGTTTTTCCATACTACTTTTTCATTATGGGTTCCAAGTCATACATGGAATTTCATCAGGCATAATCAATTCTAGATTAACCACTCATTCAACATTTATTGTGCACCTACTAAACCCATATTCACACTGCCACATACGCCTGACCCCAATCCCCTCTTGGTTAAGTCTTCCCATGTCCTAAAATACAGATGAAGCAATGGGAAACACGTGCTCCTGAGTAAGCAGCATTTCTCTCCACCTCTGAGCAGAGACGCATGGCTCTCACCAGATGCAGGCAAGAATCTTCATTAAATACATCAGTTTTCCTCCAAAGGACATAAACTTCATTATTTGCTTATTTGATCTCAAAAGCAGGTGGATTTGCACTCAATCAAAGCAGAATATGGGCACCTCAGGATCTTGATAGAGAACACAGAAGTCTGTTGCCCTATTCAAACCAAACGTCTCGCTGAAAGAATTATGTTTATAGTGGAAAATGGGCAGGCTATTTGTTCCTTTAAATCAGTGGTCTCCACATATCGCTTTCTGAATCAGCTAAAAAAATTTTTAAAAGTATTCCCATGGATGTATACTTATTAATTATACTCATGTACTATTGTACTAATATATACAATATGAAACATACACAAAGAAAAGAAAAATTTAAAGAATGAGAAAACACAAATAAATACAAATTCTAATGCTGTCTTCCTGGACCTAGCTATACCACCTCACAAAATGACCTATGGTGTACAAACCCCTAAGGTATTAGCCTCTATAACAGGAGTCCTTTACAGCCCCCAATGGCTGTGGAATCTGGAAGTAGACCAGATTATCAGTGAGTAGTATACTTTGTATTGTCTTAGCACCCAATAAATCCCTTCAGGGTGTTATGCTTTTCAAGACATGTCTGCAAGTTCTTTTTTTTTTTTTTTTTTTTTTTTTTTTTTGAGACGGAGTCTCGCTCTGTCTCCCAGGCTGGAGTGCCATGGTGCTATCTTGGCTCCCTGCAACCTCTGCCTCCTGGGTTCAAGCGATTCTCCTGCCTCAGCTTCCCAAGTAGCTGAGATTACAGGCATGCACCACCACGCCTGGCTATTTTTTATATTTTTAGTAGAGATGGGTTTTCGCCATGTTGGTGAGGCTGGTTTAGAACTCCTGACCCCAGGTGATCCACCCACCTCAGCCTCCCAAAGTGCTGGGGATTACAGGCATGAGCCACTGCGCCCAGCATGTCTGCAAGTTCTAACAAGAAATGCCAAAATATATAACTTTCAGAAACATGGTATGTGAGTGAGTGTTAAAGGGACGCTGCTGGGACCTACTCTATCCCTCACCACTCCCTATGTGAAAACTCTTTCAAACCTAATGCCAAGCTGGTATTACTTTTCTTTAAAGACAATAAGTGTTCAAGAAGCTAAGAGTCAAAACTGTTGCTTGATTTTAAAAACCACATGTGTGATTATGGCCAACTTTCCTGTGTTCCAATTTTCCACCAAGTTTTGGACTTTCTATTCTTATCTGTTTTCCCAGAGCCTCATTATTTTAAATAACTTTTATACTTAACTGCATGTTTGTAAACTGTTTTATAGAGCACAAAAGAGTAAAACGTAAATAAAACTCACCAATAGCAGTGAGGGATGACTGCACTATGATTTTCATTAAGGATAGATTTAACAAGGTATTTCCAGAAGCAGCAGATTTTCTGTGCGTTGGACTATACATACTCTGAACTATGAAAACTCAGAATTATGAACAAATGTAACAAACTTGGGATCACATCCTTGTTTCCGATGGCAAGGATAAGCTGTCTGCCCCATTATCAGCAAACCTCTCTTTCTGTCCTCCTTACTGGCAGAAGTAATCAATTATTGATTGTGATAATGTACTGTTATCATACCTTTTCTAAAGCATGTGCCTATTAGCAGAAATAAGAACTGCTTCTAATGAATGCTCAATAAATATTTGTTGAATGAATGGAAAAATAACAGCTACATAGTTCCAATAGTTACCTTAGTTAAAGAGTCACCATTTGGTTTCTTTCTTTCAGAGACTTCGGCATAACAGAAGCCTCGGGATTCAGAACAGCAAGTAGATCTCATCCTGAATACTCAGCATAATCAATGGCAGTGGCTAACAAAAACTTAGTGAGAGGGATTCTGAGGAGGAAACCTGGCTGATTTGTAAGAATGACTTCTGTTATCCCAAATTTGGTGTCTGTTTCTGCATACTTCAATTTTCATTAGTCCAACTTGCTACTCTCTCTCCTAAACTAGGAGGGGATCTTTAAAGACAGGGACCATGTGGTTTTCATCGTAATTCCTATCTATGCACTGTAAGTACTCCATAAATGTCAGCCATCCTTTTGTGATGCCTTGGTTGATAACAAAAACAGCTGAGCCTTTTAACTTAAATAAGTACCTTTGGACTTTGAAACCATCCATTCACTATCTAGGGCGGTAATAGCAAATTAACAACGATTGTGTTGCCCCTCCACCTTCCCCATATGGCCATTATTTACTAATCAACCAGGGTTTTTCCTCAGACTCCTTCTCACTACAGAATTGAGAGGGTCAGCTCATTTTACAGCTTCAACCAAAAAATTTTCTAGAATAGTGGTTCTTAATTGTAGTTCTCGCCTCTGACTATCATTGCAGTCACCTGTATTTTAGAAAACGCAAAGCCCTCATCCATGGAAATTGTGATGTAATTGTTAGGGTTATGACGCAGACACATTTAGTTTTGGTTTTATAAGACTGACAAGTGAGTTAAATGGCCAGATTGAGAACATTAATCTATTTTACATCTATATTAGTTCTTAAAGGTTAAATCCTTCTTTTATGGATTGACAATATGTATTAACATATTAGACACAGAACCAGAAGTTCTGCCATGAAGAATCTCGATTAATTTGTTTAAATTAATTTCCCCCAGAATTGACCATGGAACCCCTTCATCAATAACCCCTATCATATAGGGTTTTTTTTTTTGTTTTTTTTTTGTTTTGTTTTTTGAGACGAAATCCCCTCTGTTGCCCAGGCTGGAGTGCAGTGGCACGATCTTGGCTCACTGCAACCTCACCTTCCGGGTTCAAATGACTCTTCCACCTCGGCCTCCCAAGTAGCTGGGGTTACAGGCGTGCGCCACCACGCCTAGCTAATTTTTGTATTTTTAGTAGAGAAGGGGTTTCATCCTGTGTGGCAGCCTGGTCTTGAACTCCTGAACTCAAGTGATCTGCCTGCCGAGACCCTCTCAAAGTGCTGGGATTACAGGCGTGAGCCACCACGACTGGTCTATCATACAGTTTTAATGAAGCACAGCCATATCCATTTATTTGCATATTTTCTGTGGCTGCTTTCATGCTACAAGGGCAGAACTAAATAGTTGCAGCAGAGGCCTTATGGCCCACAAAGCCTAAAATATTTACTATTTGTCCTTGAAGGAAACCTTCACCACTCCTGGATTGCAGTGTTCAGGAATACCTTAAATAATCAGAAACACTCATCTAAACCAGCAGATTCTGGCTGAATCCTCAAAGTTCTGAGGAAAGGCCTCATTAAACAGGGCCCCACTTCTACTTCAACCACGGTGGTCTGCCTCTACTTTTTCAAGTTTCCTTTGTAAAAAGGGTACCCTTTGTTGCTAAGAAAAGTTTAAACACCACTGACAGAAACTCAGAGACCTGAATAGGCAAAGGCCACATAAATTATACTCTGTTTCTGCCACTGATAGTCTAAACTAACAGTCCCTGAAGTCACAGCGATTAATCTTAGCTTATTTAAACTGAATATCTGATAAATAGCTATTTAGGCACTGTGTTCACGATCCAGTTATGTGTATTATGTACATTACATTTATTTAGTTCTCCCAAAAAATGTCTTTTAAAGGTTACATTTTAATATTATATTTTTGGGTTTTGCAAGAATCAACAGAAGAAAAAGCCAGGTAGAAAATATATCTTCAATTTCTATCATTAGTCAAAAACATTTCTACTATATCATTCAGTGTCTCTTAGGAAAGAATGCATGAAAATAATTCTGAGGGTTCAGTGCCTAGAAACATGTAGACTTCTCTTGGTACAGTGTATACTTTCTTTTACATACTCCTATCAGATTATATAAATCACTCTATTTCACTATTCTTCTGAAGAGCCAGGACTCAACAGTTGTAAAATCATCTTCCCTCTTTCAAAACACAATACAGCATTTTACATGGTTCTTATTTCCATGGTCTTTTACATACAATCATTTAATGTAAGCTGCCTAAAATCCTTTTTGGAAGTTGACAATTGTTATAACAAACATGTAAATTGCATCATTAATCCTACAGATAACATGCATTTCTCAATTGAATACAGCACATATGAAAAGATAAAGGAATTAAAGAGACATTTAATTTAACTGCCATATAAATCAACAGAATACAATTATGGCCCCCTTTTAATCTTGGGTCGAAATCAGTGTATACTAATCATCATTACAGTCAAATGGGACTTGATATAAAGTGTACAACTGAACACTTTTAAGCTTATACAATAGAAAATCAAATATTGCTCATATTGTTTCCTATCTAAAAAAGTTGGAAGCAATGTACTACAGTTGCATTTCATAATTAATCTTATACATACTAGATAGTATCTTTGCAAGTCTTGAAATACAGAATCCATTTTTTAAAATTCCAACATTAATATCGAAATTAATCGAAATCACTAGGCATCAAGAAATTTTCTCCCTGTTCTGAATATTTCATCCTAATTTATTTTACCTTTCCATAACCAGTTTATGCCACTTATCTTGCAGGGGCTTTTCAGATTTATGAGGGAGCCAAAAAGTAGTAACCCACAAATGAGATCTAGAAAAGCACACGATAGCTATAAAAACAGCTCATCCATCATCTCTACATTTTGATTCCAGAGACAGTGCGGTGAAAGGTGTTGTTTCCACACCACTCACCCTGCACACTTAAAAAGGTTTGCTCCATCACTTATACAACTGAAACTGATTGATTAGCTGCTAGAGAAAAATCAATACAAATATCCTAGAAAACACTAGCTTGTAAATTCATTCTGGCCCCAACAAAGTCCTGGTCACCACTTGACATGTTTTTCTAGATATCTAAAATGCAACCGTGTCAAACCCAGCAAACTCAGCCCCCAAACACTGTTAATCCTAGGAATTTTTAAAACCTGAATCTCATCAGAAAGGAGGAAGTGAGAAGGAAGGTTTCACAACAGTCTGTGAGAACAACAAAATGATACCCAGAAATTACCTGGTAAATCTTAAACTCACATGCAGCAGTCTCCTCAAAAATAAAACACACACTGAGAAGGTAAAGATAGTCAATTATGGAGGTTGAGAGAGAGAAAAAAAAAACGCCAGAAAACCAGTAAGATGTAATTTATATACAAAAGAAATTACATTTCTATTTAAACATAGAAATATTTACTTTAATGCTGTCCATTCAAAAGTTAATGAGCTCTCTCATTTTTTCACATCTGAATGCATAGTCAGCATATTTTTAGTATTGTGGGAAGCCATTTTATATTCAGAATGACTTCATGATTATTTCAGAATCTCTTCTGAATGCTTCCTTGCCTTTGGGTTAGCCTTTAGTCTCCTCATTCATTAGACTAACAAGAAATAAATTTTTATGAATATAAAATGTCTCATAATCACACCTGTAATCCCTGCACTTTGGGAGGCAAAGGTGGGCAGATCACTTGAGGCCAGGAGTTCAAGACCAGCCTGGGAAACATGGCAAAACCCTGTCTCTATCAAAAATAGAAAAATTAGCCAGGTGTGGTAGTGCACACCTGTAGTCCCAGCTACTCAGGAGGCTGAGGTGGGAGGATTGCTTGAGCCCAGGAGGAGGCTGCAGTGAGCCAAGATCATGCCACTGCACTCCAGTGAGATCTCACCTCAAAAAAATAAAAAATAAAATAAAATGTCTGATAAATATGCTATTTGGAATAAAATTTTGATCCTATTGTATATTCTATCATATGACTGGAAACCTGGGTTCTAATCCTCATTCCACAGTTGATATAGAGTTTAAAAAAATCATTTTTTAATTCTGACATACAGGAGCCATTAAAAAAATTAAAAGAAAGAAAATGCCGCTTTAAGGATGGGAAATTTAACTCCCATCCACAGAGTGGCTTTAAACCTAGTACTACAATTTATTGGTGGCATATTTAGGTTTTTCATTATAGAGTAACTTTTCATAAAACCATGTTTCTTATTCATTATAAGACAGGCAATCTAATCATGGTAGAATGCAGAACTTAAGAGTTTCTGGTCCAAAGAATATTCCTATCACCTGAATTATTAAATAACTAAATGTGCAAAAGTCATAGTAATAAGAAAATGAGTCATTTCTTCTATTATGGTTACTTTCATAATTATTATTTGCAATTTTAAAGCTCAAACTTAGGATTTCTATAACAGCATTAAAATCTCAATGTCTTTTGCAGAAAAAAGACAATGCTACTAAAATGTCTTAAAAATATTAGCTTATAGATTGATACTTCCTATTTTTGAAAGGGATTATAAGGCCGCCCGTAGCATAAATTTGCACTTCTCAAATTTAGAAAATGAAAGGTAACTGTCATACTAAACATCTATCTACAGAGCAGTTTTTCATAAAACATAATTTGGACTCAAAAGAAAAATCCATCATTTGATTTTAGTCATTAATGTTTTTGCTATGGATGTTACAATATTCTTACCCAAAATTAGACTTCTCTTCCTGGCTTCGGATTTTAGTTTAAGTAATATTTCTTCTTCATAATGTTTTTTTTTTTTTTTTTTTGAGACGGAGTCTTGCTCTGTCGCCCAGGCTCGAGTTCAGTGGCGCAATCTCAGCTCACTGCAAGCTCCGCCTCCCGGGTTCACGCCATTCTCCTGCCTCCGCCTCCCAAGTAGCTGAGACTATAGGCACCCGCCACCACGCCCGGCTAATTTTTTGTAGTTTTAGTAGAGACGGGGTTTTACTGTGTTAGTTAGGATGGTCTCGATCTCCTGACCTTGTGATCCACCCGCCTTGGCCTCCCAAAGTGCTGGGATTACAGGCGTGAGCCACGGCACCTGGTCTCTTCTTCATAATATTGACATAGCCAATTACTTTATACATGTTATCTCAAATTCTTAAAATAAAAACATTAAATATTATAGTGATGAGAAAGCCATAAGCTTGGAGAGGTGAGATACTACGTTCACATCATGTGGCTGGTAAGCAACAGAGCAGTATTTCAAATCCAAACTGCTTATAGCAAAAAGCACCAAGTACTTGAGGACTTAAAATTTTCCTGGCTGGGTGCAGTGGCTCACACCTGTAATCCCAGCACTTTGGGAGGCCAAGGTGGCTTGAGGCCAGGAGTTCGAGACCAGCCTGGCAAACACAGGGAGACTCTTTCTCTCTAAAAAATTTAAAAATTAGCCAGACTTGGTAGCGCATGGCTATAGTCGCCACTACTGCGGAGGCTGAGGCAGGAGGATCGCTTGAGCCCAACAGTTTGAAGCTGCAGTAAGCTCTGACTGTACCATGACACTGCAGCCTGGGTGATACAGTGTGAGACCCTGTCACCAAAAAAAAAAAAAAGAAAGAAAGAAAGAAAAAAACAACCACATTTCCTGAACACACTGGATTATCTCACAAATTAGCTCACCAGTCCAAAAACTAGCATTTAGTTTCAATTCTAATACACAGATAATAAGGCAACAGAAAAACCTGATGTTGCAAACATTCCATGGTTGGGAATAAAAAGATCTTACTGATGTTAATAAGAGTAATCTTCTAATACGTTCTCTAAAAATAGCTACGTTACTGCTAACCTCTGATACATTATTTGAATCACTCGCCTTAACTAGTCCAACCCACCTGGATATGACAATGTTAACTTACTAAAGATCTACAGAAGCAATACGCTGTAAATTGGTTACTCAGAGGGCATTTCTAAAGATAAATCACAGAGCTAAGGTGGATATTGTTAGAAAAAGTCATAATCACTTTATACAAACTATGTTTCTGAGGCAGGAGAACAGGGTCTGGAGGCAGGGAACCTAAGGCCAATTCACCCTGACTTCCTAGAACTAAATTGGAAAAAAAAAAAAAACAACTTTCCAGCAAGTAACAAAAGGACCAGAGGTTACTCTCTTTGCAAACCCCCATCTTTTCTGCAGGGCAGATGGCAAATTGAAAGTATCTCTGATTGCTTGCTTTCTGCAACCAGTCAGACGTTTGCATAAGCATGTAACTTTGTAACTTCACTTCAGCTTTCCATAACCAATCGGATGTTTGCATAGGAGTATGAACTTTGTAACTGCACTTCAGCCTCTGATTGGTTGCTCTCTACAACCAATCAGACTGACCATGGACCACCATTTCATTTACATGGGATGAACACCAAATGGCCAGTGGGAAACATCTAGGGGGTATTTGGATCTCAGGAGATTCTGTATCCGGGCCCTTGAGCCACTGCTCAGACCTGCTCCCACACTGTGGAGTGTATTTTCATTCTCAATAAATCTCTGCTTTTGTTGCTTAATTCTTTCCTTGCTTTGTTTGTGCATTTTGTCCAATTCTTTGTTTAAAACGCAAAGAACCTGGACACCATCCACCAGTAATATTTCTGTTCTGTCTTCTTTTTTTCTCAAGTCACATATAATTCATAAATGTGTCCATATAAAGCCATGAAGCAATCATATCCAAATGTTAGCATAAGTTACAGGTGAAAATAGATGTAAGCGAGTGAAGAGGAGATTTTCACTTTCTACATGGTGATTTTACAGCTTTACATTTTTCAAAAACGTTTTCAAGTAAAATGAAATAGATTTTTAAAAAAATTATATGCAGTTGCACTTAGAAATGCATGATGTTAAAAAAAGTACTAATTTCATGCCTTCTAAGTTGCAGTGTTTGGTAGATAGATCATCTATGTTTAATATCCGCATTATCTGACAGATACATGGAAAAACAAACACTAATTAAGAATGCCAGCAAAGACTTTTTCAAATAGATTTAGTTTCTGGGAAAATTTTTTCTCCTTTTAAAAAATCCTTGGAAGTATTGGTTATGCTGTAGTAAAGACAACCACCCAGGCTTTTTCTTAGATTAGACAATAATCTGGCTGTAAAAGGAGAATGCTAGCAAGAGTCAGTAAATGTCCTTTATTTCTCTCTCAATACTAGTTGAATGTGAAAGGAGGAGGGGACTGAGCTAAGAATATACAAGTAGAGAAAAACTGTTGGGAGGCATCAATAAATCAAACAAGGAGATATTTTTCTCTATTAAGAGAAACATTACAAATTCATGTTTCTAAAAGTTTTCTACAGACTAAACAAAAAAATGAATTTGGAACTCATACTTTCTGAGACCCAGAGTATGAAATACTGAAACTAGCACTCCAAGTTACTTGACAAAAAGAAAAGTACATTGCCAATAACTATTAACCTGCAAGATTATGAGACAATAGATTATCTCATGTTGGGAGTAAAAACACACCACTGTTACAGGCACATACTATAAACAAAGACAAAAGAGGAAGTTTATGGTTTGAGCAGTTATATGTCCACACAACTGTCACTCATGTTAAAGATAAGTCTTACTATATATGCTGAGAGAGACCTAGATAATCACATTTCCCGGCAAGTGATGACTCAGAAGTAGTTGGCCACCCCACACAAATCATTCTCATTAGGCCTCTCCCCCAGTACCAATCTTTAGTGGTCTGACAGTCATGTGGTTAAAAGGGGTGGCCTCCTTTATTGGCTGATATGAAAACTTATCTTCTTCAAAGACGTCTACAAACCCTAATTAGCTCTATTTTCTAAATGGTCCAAAAATGTCAAAGAAAGAGATGAAAAATCTGAGTATTTCACTTGTCCACAAAAATCTTAACAGACATCAGAGGCTCATGGATTTCATTTTATCTTAATTTTGTCTTTTCCATGGAGTCTAGAGGTGGGTGATAAAGTTCAAAATATGTCATTTACCTTAGAGTGATAAGAAAACAGAAGCGTAGTAAAAGAAGAGTCATTAATGTAAAAATAAACTAAGTGATTAACTCTGGTCACATCTTTTATTAATTAAGTTCGTATATTTGTAAAACTCTTCAGAAAACTAAAGAAGTTGGTCTCTAAACTGAAGTATTACTTAGAAGGCTAACATAATTTATTAAGAAGACTAATTTCACATATAATTCTAGAAACTCTTACCTTGAAAAGATTGTTTGGCTCTATCTACTAGTTCATCAATTGGATAACTGGCCAAATTTCCTCTGGCGTGTTTAGTTTTGCAGTAGGTACAAGCATTGAGACACCTGTTCAAATGATAACAATAAATAAGACTCAAATTTCTAAAGATAGCATATACTTAACATGGGGATACCTCAAAACATACACAAAAGTGCTCTTTCAGAAACATTTGCTTGGTTTATACAAGAGATTCAAAAACCAAGTATCTACCATGCCTCAGAGTTATTTTATCTCCACCAGGCACAAAAATTTGCAATTCTTTTAAGTTTCAACTACTCAAGAATGACTGTACAAATCACACATTATCTAAAAGTGCACAAATCTATGAGGAAGAAAGTTTAAAAATGCTTACAATGACTAATCAAAAGAAATTCAAGACCTAAATTACTTTTTCATAAACTACTGACATTACTTTGGCCATCATAACTAGAAAGTTCTGGTATTCCTTATACACACTATAGTATTCAGAAATGATAACACATACTCATTTAACTTTTAACTAATGATATAAGAATAAATAAGTAGATAATATAGCATTCTCATAAGAAAATACAACCTTAGAAATTTTTAGATAATCTTTTTTCACTCCTTGAAATCAGGAAAAAATATTAAAGCATGTTCAATGAATAATTCTCTGAGACTACATTAATCAAAGTAAAAAAAGTAGAATGGCAATACTAGCTTTAAAAAATTAAAAAATAGGCATATTTCCCAATAGTATTTAGACATGATATAGAATTGTCTTTTTAAAACTAAAATATTGGTTCTACTCTTATAATATTAAAATATACCTTAAACAAATTTATTACAAAATAAAAGACACAGTTACAAAATAAAAAATAGTCCTATATCAAAAAGATAAGACTCAATAACATTGAACCAAACAAAAAGGAACATTTCTTCAGTGATTCGATTGCTATAATGAGTAGCAAGGCTTTAAAAAGACCATAGTACACAAATGCTTTAAAATTTCATATTGAGAAAAATTGTACTTTTAACAATTGAATCTGATCCATGTGTAATTTTATGAATATGTGACTTTAAGATACATATGAATCACTGTACTCAGCAGTCAAATATGCAATGCTTAATTTCTGAGAATTTTCGCATGGGATCCTTAAGTAAAGTAACATACATTTTAAAACGTGTTTAACTATTTAACCGACCACATAATCTTGAACTGCTAACACTCTTTTCCTCCTAAGTAATTTACATTTTTAAAATAAACACAAATTGTGGCTTCTCTTACAAATAGAGGTTCTAGTCTCCCAGTTGTTCTATGTCTTCTCTTTACATATTCTGCCCTTTCTATAACAAGGGGAAAGGGAAAACCATTCTATTGTCGTTTCCTTGGTAGAGTAACTCAATTTTGTTTAGCCCTTACTGAGCATCAGACACTGTTGTCGATATTTTCTTTTTTTTGTTTTTGTTTTTCTGTTTCTTTTTTTTTTTAATAGAAACGGGGTCTCGCTATGTTGCCCAGGTTGGTCTCAAACTCCTGGGCTCAAGCGACCCTCCCCTCTCGGCCTCCCAAAGTGCTGGGATTACAGGTGTGAGCCAGTGAGCCTGTTACTGATATTTTATATGCCTTATCTCATTTAACCCTTTCAGAGTTGGGTTTCCCTATCTTGATCTTACAGACAAGAATCCACCTCAAAAAATCAGATAAGTAGCCTGCTCAAGGCCATGTAACAGCTGAGATTCAAATCCAGGACAGTGAGATTTCAAACTCCAAGTTCTTTCCATACCAAGCTGCCCCCTCCCACAAGAACTGAGCGCCAAACATCTTAGCTGCATAAACATGCAAATAAAAAGACCTGCAAATCATCTGACATGAGATTTAAACTAATATAGCATATATATTCAAATATATGGCCAGTACTCATCTTCTTGAAGCTAAATATGAAGCTATTTAATTAAAATATGTGTTTCTCTCTTTTATTCTTTGGAAATCTAAGGCCAGGCTTCTTGTCCATCCAGTGTCCTAAACCTGTCACTTTCATCCTTGTTTACAATTTCTGTTTTTCATCCTCCTGCTGGTTCTGTGTGAAAACATGTCACTTCATCGGACTTGACACGTCATTTTAAATTCCATAGCTCAGGTTCTCAAAGCTGTTTATGGTACACTGGAAGACCAGGGTTCTCTCTGTTTTTTTTTCCTCGAGTGTCTCCATGGCCCAGTCAATGCAGCAGGCCTTGTCATGAAGCTGTGATTCCCACGTATGACTGGCATTCACCCAAGTTAAATCAGTACCCTTCCAGGGAACCTGTCATCTCTCCTTCTAATACTACCTCATTTCTTGTGATCCCTTTCCCTTATTTGTCCTATAACCAATGGAAAGCTCCATAAATTAAGTGAACAATCTTAATGGAAGCTATTGGTTGACCATTCCTAATCTGAAAATCTGAAATCCTCCCAAATCTGAAACTTTTTGAGCAACAACATGACACTACAAGAAAAAAATTCCACACCTGACCTCATGTGATGGGTTGCAATCAAAATGCAGTCAAAATTTTGCTTCATGCACAAAATTATTTTTAAAATATTATGTAAATTACCTTCAAGCTATGCGTATAAGGTGCACATGAAACATAAATGAATTTTGTGTTTGGAGTTGGATCTCATCCCCAGGATATCTATCTATCTATCTGCAAATATTACAAAAACTGAAGAAAAAAAAAATTCAAAATCCCTTATCTGAAATGCTGGTTCCAAGCATTTCAGATAAGGGATATTCAATCTGTGCTAATATTTCTGACTTGGGCTGTTTATGAAAAGTAACTGTCTTAAGGAACACTAGCAGGGGGAAAGGGCAGGGGAAGAAAAAGAGAAAAGAAACATATTTTAAAATTTATAACATAAATGAATTGATACATGTAAAATACTCAGAATGGTGTCTGTATCTAGTAAGCAATCAGTAAGTGTTGGCTACTGGTAGGTTAATGTGACTATTAAACAATTCTGTGAGGAAATAATTATGCATTATCATGTCCCAGGTGTACTCAACTTTATGGACAGATGTGTTGCTGACAGGTTGGCTTAAAAGTCAACTGTGGAAACCAAATCACATTTTCCTACTGTTTCACTTAATAAAGATGGAAATGTATTCCCCACGGAAAATCACTCATGAAACTGTACCAAAAAGTTTAAATAAACAAAGTGATATTCTGAAACATTTATAATGCTCAAAATAAGCAACTAAGAATATTACATGAAGAATTCAAAAAACTCTGTGTTAAATTGTTCCCTTGGGGTTAATTATAGTTGTTGACATGATAATTTTTTGATTTTTTGTTTGTTTGTTTTTGAGACGGAGTTTCGTTCCTGTTGCCCAGACTGAAGTGCAATGTCGTGATCTCGGCTCACTGCAACCTCTGCCTCCCGGGTTCAAGCGATTCTCCTGCCTCAGGCTCCCGAGTAGCTGGGACTACAGGTACCTGCCACTACGCCTGGCTAATTTTGTATTTTTAGTAGAGACAGGGTTTCTCCATGTTGGTCAGGCTGGTCTCGAACTCCCAGCCTCAGGTGATCCACCCGCCTTGGCCTCCCAAAGTGCTGGGATTACAGGCGTGAGCCACCACACCCAGCCAACATGATAGTTTTGAAGTTCTAAACTCTTTATTGTATAAGACGGGTTCATCCTATCCACAGTTATCAAAATAATACTGTATATTATCTTAAGAAAGTAAAAATTTCTTAAGAGCACATTTTTTTGACTGCTTGTATGTTTATTTTTAATTTTTGTGGGTACATAGTAAGTGTATATATTTATAGGGTACAAGAGTACGTTTCTTTAAACTTGCTATAACAGTACCAACTCAAGCATCTAATTTGCTATTGTCTTAGCTTTAAAAAGAAGAGATTTGTTATAATACACAGAAAAAAGCCATGCAGTGTAAAATCAGAAAAGAAAGAATAAGCATTTTGATGCTATTTGGTTGAAAAACAGTTTTTCTAATCACCAAGAATTATGTTGACCAATCATTTCAACATAAGAAGCTTCCTATAAAATAAAGAAATTCACAATAGAAACCTTTAGAAGATAGTTTCAGTTATCTGTAAACAATTAAATAATTGTCTAGGAGAAAGAACACTGAGCCAGTTTCTTCAACTGTCAGAAAACAAAAGATCTTTGAAGGTTGACTGCAGAAAGCCAAAACCAAAATGAGATGGCTGTTGAACTACAAGGAAGATGCAAAATCCAAATAGGCCTAGACTGTCCTGATGCAAGGATAAAGCTAGCACACAATACCTACTAATCTTTGCACAGGTTGTTACATGGCCAGAGACCAAGAATGACTAAAACCCTCAAAAGCAGAGAGAGCTTAAGTATTTAATCTGGCAGTATAACCCAGGAGAGTTTTATTTTTTATTATTTTTATTTTTGTAAAAAAGGTTTTTTTTGTAAAGACAGGGTCTCACTATGTTACCCAGGCTGGGTCCCTCAAGTTATCCTCCTGTCTCAGCCTCCCAAAGGGTTGGGATGACAGGCGTGAGCCATCACGCCCAGTTCAACCCTGAAGTCTTAAGAAACACCTATGGTAGAATATTTTTAAATTACATAGACTAAACAAATGAAATAACAATGAATTTTCACAAATTAAAATACTTCAAAGGGTGTAAACACATAATGGTCAACTTAATATCCAAACCACATAAAGCAAGTGAAAACTAAAAGTTTTAACATACCTATTCTTTTTTTGTAAAGAGCATCTTTAGATATTACAAGTTCTGAAATAATTTAAAAATCAGAGTTATACTCTTAAAAAGTCACTCATACTGGTATCTTTTTTTAATGGGGGAAAAAAGGTGACTAATGTGACACAGTCTTCTGGTTTTCTCTGCTTCAGGTCAAAGATAACCTGAATATGCAAAAACCATTTGGACTCAAGCATTAATACTCACAGCCTCCACTTTCCATTCCACTCACATAATTTAATCATGATTTGTTTTTCATAAATTGATAGAGTATGATCTTTCTCAAAGCTTCAAATGTTACAAAATGGCCAGGCATGGTGGCTCACGCCTGTGATCCTAGCACTTTGGGAGGCTGAGGCAAGAGGGTTGCTTGAGCTCAGGAATTCGAGACCAGCCTGAGCAACATAGTGAGACCTTGTCTCCACAAAAACAAAAAACCAATGTTACAAAATAATAAGCCCTTAACAAGAACTAAATCTTGGAAAAGCCATACTGTGGTCTAGCCACATTCTTCCAAACTGAAACACCATCAAGTGAAGAAAAAACAAAAACCCAAGAAACCAAAAGTTCACACAATGTAGGCTGTGCCAGACTTCATTGTTAAATATAGCCTACTGTGAGCCCTCATCTTGGTTTAACTGTTTTTCCAGGAAAATTACTTTTTGATCTTTCAAACGAATACAGGAGATACTCATACCAACAGAATCTGATAAGATCTTCAAATGATAACATAATACCTGTTTGTCAAGATCAAAATTCTCAACAAGCAATGGAAAAATGACATAGTTGAAAAATTAGCTGAATATACTTCCAAAACCCTACCTTCTTTAAGCTTCCTGTGCCCAAAACTCCTCTTGCCTAAAATGAAATCCCTCCACTTGGGTGACTGACTCAATCGTCTCTCCTGTCTCTATCTTCAATTGTGAACTTTCGGAGTTAGTTTCCCCTGCATTAAAATATGTGTACTAAATTGAAACACAATTGCAGCTGTATTTGCTCTTACTCTATTCCCATCAGCTACATCCTTTGCTCCAAAATGTTGTTCCAGCATATTTTAACTCTGTACCTTTTTTTGTTATTCACTTTACTTGAAAGAATTATACTTATCACCTCTCAATCCCTGTAAAAAATCATCACAATCTTTAAAATAGTTTGAGGGGAGAAGTGGCCAGTGATAGTAAAAGACAGCTGCCAAATGCTTGCCAGAAACTCAGTTATGCATTTTACATTAATTGTTTCATTTACCCTCACAGCAATCTTGATATAAGCATTATTATTCTTCCGTAGAGGAAACTGAGGCTCAAAAAGATCAAGAAACTTGCTCAAAGTTATACAGCCAGCCAAGTCAAAGATCCTTCCAATTGCATTTGAATTTCCTTTATCACCAATTGTACTCTGTACTTCTCTTAAGAAACACTGACTTATTCTGTGTAAGAATACATGATTAGTTGCATGCTTATCTCAATATTCTTAAGGAACAGGTATTATCTTCCTTATTTACTATCTGCTATAGCATTTAACACAGTGACTTGTATACTATTAGAATAACAATAAATACACAAATCTCTTGGTGATTTCATAATGGACAGACCAGTTGACAAGCCAATACTGGGCTACACAGCTAGGAGGAGTGCTAGGCAGAAAGGTATCCAGTAAAATACAATGAAGCAGGGAAATGGAAGTCAGGAATCGAGAAGGTACAGAGCAATAATGCAGATCTTGCCAGACAAAGGATCAACAATCTTGTCTTAGAGGTCAGGAAGCTGGGAACAGGAAAGTAAAGCTTGGAGACGAGAGCTGTAAGACAAGGGACCCTACACAGGGTATAAACACACTACAATCTGTACACCATTCCAAGCAGACTATGCAACAAGAGAAATAAAGGGCCTGATAGTCTATCAAAGACCATCCATTTTCAATAGTAACTATTTTTCCAGTTTCTATCAGTAGTTTCCGATGCTGGGATGTCACAGAGCAACACACTTAAAATGCACACACACATAACTGGACATCAAATAGGCTACCGATTTGTTATTTTGCCAAGATAGGACAAAAAAAGTTAAACTATCTTGTACTATCATTACTGTTTTTCAAAAAATAGCACATTTTAAACAACAAAACAGGAGGAATGTCATAATGAAGGCTCACAAATGTAGCTTCATAAAAATCTCATTATATTTTCCTTATATTTCTCATTTTATCACAGGCCAGCAAAAAAATCCATCGAGTTCTACAGAAACTGTTGCTGTAGGTGATTCTTTAACATCTTCCTAAGTTTTCCTTACATTTCTATATTGATCTTTAGAATTAAAGATGTACAGGGGGAAAAAAAAAGCAAGAAAATGGCCTCTTTTAACTGAATATTGGTTTGAATCAGCTAATATGTCAATTGACACACAATATGTAGAATAAATATAATTAATAAGTAGCAGTGATCATTCCAGTTAGAATTTTTTTTTTTTTTTTGAGATGGAGTCTCGCTCTGTCTCCCAGGCTGGTGTGCAGTGGTGTGATCTGGGCTCACTGCAAGCTCCGCCTCCCAGGTTCACACCATTCTCCTGCCTCAGCCTCCCAAGTAGCTGGGACTACAGGCACCCGCCACCACACCTGGCTAATTTTTTTGTATTTTTAATAGAGACGGGGTTTCACCGTGTTAGCCAGGATGGTCTCGATCTCCTGACCTCAGCTGATCTGCCCACCTCAGCCTTCCAAAGTGCTGGGATTACAGGCGTGAACCACTGCACCCGGGCCTCTCCAGTTGGATTTTCAATGTGTTCTATTTGTAGCTAGCAGCTTACTCCCTGGGAGACAAAGTCCCACACCCTTAATAGCAACAACTGTTTTCTAAATGTGTTTACTAAAATAGCATGGTAAAAGATAATGAAATTCCGTCAACCATAAAGTACATACTTTTCCGAAAATTTTCTTTTGTTCCACCTTCGTTGTTATTTTTAGTTTTATAAAGCAATGACAGCAGACAAAAATTAAGGCTAAGATATTATCTATACTTTCCAAAGACAGCAGTAGAGACAGCTGTAATTGTCAAATAATGTTTGTGACATAGACACCTGGTTGGCCATTCAAGCTGAGACCCAGACAAAGTGACACTGTGCTACAGACTTGAGCTAACTTACGAATGTCCAAGCTGAAAACGAAACAGGAACTGTGAACACAACTATACACTTCCTACCATAGTAGGAGATTTTATTTACATAATATATGTATACATTATACATATAAATAGACATATAATTTATCCTTTAAGAATATAATTCTGCCATGTAAGATATATTCCTAATATACCATAAAGTTTAAAAAGCAGTAACAAATACTGTTTTAAAATTATGTAAAGTAGATGTATACATCTATAAAAATGGATGTATACATATATAAAAGTAGATGTATACATATATACAAGTAGATGTATACATATATAAAAATCATATACATAGAAGTATACACACACACACACACACACACACACACACACACACACACACACAATTTCTTCCCAGCTCCACCCCTAACTGTTCTCTATGTCTGGTTTGTTTGGTTTTGGGGTTGTAGGTTGTTTTTGTTTTTTCTTTTTAGGTACACATACCTGGCCCCCTTATCAGATTTACTGAATTAGAATTTGCAGGAATGAAAACAAGGCATATATATATTTATAAAAAGTATTATTATTATTATTATTATATGCTGAAGTGAAGCCAAATTTATGCTAGTATTAGAAATATTTATTTCTGCAGATTAATAGTTAACACTCGTCTGCTGTTAAACTAAGCAAAACTAAATCTGTACTTTCAGATATTCTAAAGGTCAACTTATGGGAAAGTGGTCTCTAGCAAAGACTTACCTAAGGGTTAATCTGAAAATCTGACTAAGCCACAGGCAAAATATACCAACCAAAAAACCTGAATAATGGACCATAAAATATACTCTAAAAGCAAAGGAGTATTAGTGAACAAAACTATTGTTTTTGTTCTCTCAGTGGTTATGGAGGCTGACGTCTGCTGAGGTGAAATCTCACAGGAAACAGTGGTTGAGGCTAATTCTATAACATGTAACAGGTACCATATTTTGGCGCCTGGGATAAAAGGTATTGTTCTAACATGAGTCAAAACATCCTGGGAAAGAAAAAAAAAATCTTATATTTCAAGGGCATTGAAACTAGAAAGCTAAATTCAGATAAAACTTAAATTTCTAACCTGTGTGGGAAAAAACTTAAATTGTTTGGGTCAAATAATGGTGTGAGCAATCACATAAGGAAGAGAGATGACATGTTTTAAAGTGAAATGAAAAAGTAGTGCCTAAGCATTTATGTAATTACCCACCATTTTAACTTCAACAAATTCTCCAAATTCGAGAGCTAACAATTTTAATCAACATTGTAATAATTTCAGTAAAATTCAACTGCCCATCTTTGACTTGGAGATTACTACCTAACGCAGGGCCAGGACAAAGTAGCATTTACCAGAGAGAGAAAATGAGGGAACTGGTAGGGCCTTAGCACACAGTCCACTGGCTATCAAGGCGACTACCCAAATATCCATGAGAAGAAACCTTTCCCACGCGGACCTCAGCTGCACAGTGGTTTAGTGCCTCTTCTCCTACATACACATTACACCTCTTTTCCTTGACTGATGGATAGAATCCCTATCAATTCAGTGAGAGCTCTTTTCTTTATTGGAACAGGAGAAGGGAATGATAAAAACTACCCCCATTAAATACAAGATGTATTTAAAGGAATGTATATTCCTTTATAAAGAATTGTGCTGTTTTCAGAAACATTTGGATGGAAAAGGGAAAAAATGCATCTCAACAGAGGAAATACGTCAATTTAAGAACTTAAATAAGAACATTAAAGAACAGTATTTCAGAGATGAGCAAGGAATGTGCCAGCTGAGAACTTCCATCCCAAGAGGTGGTGATATTCATGGAGTATAACCCTAAAAAGCCAACCTATGACAGAGACAAAAGTGAATCATAAGAAAGACCTGGATTCCCAGATTCTATTCTTTTCAACTGTAATGCCACTGAATATGCTACAGAATAACTGCAACTTACGCTGAATTTTTATATATAACTAACTTAGTGACGGTGCTGCTTTTTTAAAAATGAAAATGTTTGTATAATATGCAAACATTATATTTTTGGTAATATGATGGCTGGAACTCAGCAAATCAGATAGCCTTTGTAACATAATCGTCAGTTTGATTTACTTCGATGCTTTTCTTTTCCCACTGCTAAATCTTGAGGTCATGTCCAAGTGAATGAAATAGTTACTCTACCGAGTCACTATCGAAAAGTGCAGGTGTGGGCTATTCATAGGAGGTACACTCCTGCTTTCCTTTTTCATCTACATAGGAGGGAGTAAAAAGGAGGCTTGAGGGAGCAGAAACCCATGGGTCCCTTTTACAACAGCCAGGAGAAGGAAGGAGAAGAGAAAGGGTAGTTGCTCATGTAAAGTACACAAAGCAGGGCTCCCTCATATACATCTCATTTTGATAAGCACAACCAGCAGATTCTTGGTGCCGGTAGTAGAAGCTCCATTTTTCAGATATGAAAACTGAAGTTGAAAAGGGGTTCCAGGCCAGGCGCAGTGACTCATGCCTATAATCCCAGGACTTTGCGAGGCCGAGGCAGGTGGATCACTTGAGGTCAGCAGTTCAAGATCAGCTGGGCCAACACAGCAAAACCCTGGCTCTACTAAAAATACAAAAAAATTAGCTGGGCCTGGTGGCGCACGCCTGTAATCCCAGCTACTGGAGAAGATGAGGCAGGAGAATCACTTGAATTCAGGAGGCAGAGGTTGCAGCAAACTGAGATCATGCCACTGCACTCTAGCCTGGCTGACAAGAATGAAACTCTACCTCAAAAAAAAAGAAAAGAGACAAGACAAGACAAGACAAGACAAAAGACAAGACAAGACAAGACAAGACAAGACAAGACAAGACAAACAAAGCAAAGCAAAGCAAAGGAGTTCCAGTACACAGGCTAATTAACTGCCAGATTTCATGTCTGCACCTACCTCTTCCTAATTCTAAGAAGACTCAAAAGGCTCCTTTTGTGGGGAAGGAGGTACCTTGTTTATTGCTTAGTATGTATTACTTTAATAAATAATTATTTTAATAATCTTCGCTTTATTGAGGTAAAATTGACACAAAATAAACTGTACATATTTAAAAAGTATAATTTGGTAAGTGTTGACATATGAATACATCTGTGAAACATTGCCACAATCATGATAATGAACATATCCATTGTCCCTAAAGGTTTCCTTGTGTCTCTCTGTCACCTCTCCCTCTAAACCCTCTACCCAAGTGCCCAGGAAATTATTGTTCTTTCTTTCACTATAAATTAGTATGCAGGATAAATTGGTTTTCAATAATTTTATATAAATGGAATCATAGAGTACGTACTCTTTTTGTCTGGCTTTTTTCATCAACACTACACAGTGTGTCAATAGCACATTGCTTAGCACTACTCCATGGATTTGTGTTTGCTAGCTGTTTCCTGTGAAGCTATGGCACTATGGGGTGATAGAGGGAGACAGAAAGGCTAGACAAGAGAGAATGGACTTGCCTTTTCTATTTTGCTTCCTGTCCTCATCCATAATGCCAATTTCTAACTCCGATGTGGGAGAAGGTAACATCAGAACTCTCAAACAATAAGCTAATGCCTTAAATTTCATGACTACTCTAAACATTATACTATAGTTGCTTCAACTAAAAGAAACTTAAATGGTAGAAAAATTAACAATGATGAAATGTGTTGCCTATTTTTTCTAGTCTAGATAAAGATAAGCTTAGTCTGAAAGAAGAGAAGGGAGAAAATACAGCATTGATACGAGAGGTCCTCTTTGCCTTTATAACCCCCAAATGCTAAAAGTCTGGTAATGTGGACTCCAATAGGGTTAAAACAAAAATAAACCAACCAAACAAAAGGCCAAATCCCAGAAGCCAAGCTTAGGTTCGTGAAAACAGAAGCTGGTATGTTAGAAATTCCATAGGAGATGAGATTGGAACCCAGAGGACATCTAACTCCCACCCCCACAGTTGTCCTTTCCCAAGCACAGCTAAGCATCCTCTTGCCTAACAAAGACAAAACAGTTCATTGTGAAAATGCAGCTGAGATGTAGCCTAAAGGCAAGGGACAAGCTGAGGCCAAAACATGGTATTGGCCTTTCAATTAAGGTCCTGAAGTTTAGGTAGAGGCTTCTCGCTATAATAGAAAAATTCCCAGGTGCAGAAAGGATGACCAGGCAAGGTTTCTGGCTATTGTCACCGTAAATGGAACTGACCATAACAAACAGACTGATATTCCACTTAGTCCACTTAAGGGAGCTGATTTTCCAAAGAAACCACAAAAACCTGCTGAATGTCTATGTCAATGATTCTTAGAGAACGCATCAGATGCTCTGGGAGTTCTTATCAAAGCACAGATCGCTGGATTTCCTGTTCTCATTCAGGAAGTCTGTGCTGACACCCAAAAATTTGCCGTTCAAATGATGCTATTGCTTCTGGTCTCCGGACCATGCCGAGAACCACTGTTCCAAAGCAACCTGAGATCTCTCCTACCCAACCTTGCATTAACTGAGAGAGAGCTACTGGAAATGAATGGTCCTTCCTAAAAGCAACCCCAGATGTGGCATTAAAAAACAAGGAAAGGAGAGAGATTCTCAGAGCTAAAAATCACTTGCTATCAAATATGCTAAGAAATTAACTTCCTACCAAGTACAGGGGGTGTTTACCATTCCTGGATTATGAAAGAATGACCAATATGTGTTGTTTTCTATTATTTTCCTTTTACGATGAGATTTTTTCATTGCATCATCCTGTTCTTCCTCCAGTATTATGAATAGACATAGGTGAGTTACTTTTTAGTTACAGGTTGCAAGACCATAAAGAGCTACACTAGATCCCACAGAGAGGAGTATATACCACCCAGATATATAATCTATGTATCATCTAAGATCCTGGTCTTGGAATTGAATGAGACTTTGAGTATCCCTCTTCAGGGAAGTGGCGAGGATGGTTTGTTTAAGAGCAAGTTTTAGTTAAGAACACGTATAGGAAAAGGATGTGTATGAATGTTAGGGAGCAAAAGGTGCGAACTACAGTGCATGTTGCTACTCAGGACTTAACCCCACTCTCTTTCCAAAAGAATACTGATTTTGTTCAGGAATCAACTCTTCTCTCACGCAGTCAGTAAAGCTCACAAAAAACTAACGCTGGAACCAGTTCTAGAATAGAGCGTGGCTAATCAAAGGGAAATACCTTTTCATTCTCCAATAAATGCTTCAATAAATGTATTCCAATAAATACATCAGGAACTCAGACCTAAGCCAATCAGAATGTAGCATTTTCGTGGAAACTGGGATTCATTCAGGAATGTGCCTGAGATAAAATTCGTATCAATGAAATGTGCTGGGAATTCTGGGGAAAATACTGCTTTGCTTTTAAAATAGTGACCTTTTCTTTTAGAGATTGAGACAAAATTGCACTCAGGACCATTTAATCCTCAGACTAAAAGTCAGAGGAGATATAGCCAAGAAAATTACAGGAAAATGTGGTAAAGCCACTGGATTAAGGTATACTTCTTACCTTCAACTATGTCATTATATGTCATTATCATTAAGTTATTTATGATATGCCATTGAAATTTATACATCTAAATAAAAACTGTACCTATTAAAGGCAATAAGAACTTCAAAGAACCAAGTAAATGGTGTTTGCCAAAATAATTTTATATCCTCCTTAATCTGAACAATTTCCTTTTTTTAGAGACAGGGTCTTAGTCTGTCACCCAGGCTGGAATGCAGTGGCGTGATCACAGCTCAGTGCTCCCTCGAACTCTTGGGCTCAAGCTAACCTCTTGCCTCAGTCTCCCAAGAATCTGGGAATACAGGCTTGCACCACCAAACCTGGCTAATTTATTTTCACGTGTTTTGTTTTTTTTTTTTTTTAATTAGAGACAGGGTCTCACTATGTTAACCAGGCTAACAAATTGCTTTGAATTTGCAATCTTTCTAGGTGTCAACTTTGCAAAATGCTTTTCATTTGATCATTTGAGATTTACAAGATAAATAGATAGTCCCTGCCTTAAAATTAGAAAAGTGAAAAAGGAATTCCAATTTTTGCATTGTTGGAATTTGCCATTTGATATTGGAATACATTCTTACATAAATATGGTTATGTTATAAATCATTTTAATGGGCATTTCTCACCTTATATTTTTTTGCTAATGACTTATTACTTGCTGTTTATGTTTATCTTAGACAATGGAAATGATGTTAGACATAAAGTAAATTTGAGAAATCTTCTTATTTGAGTTCAAAATGGGTCTTAAAGCAGCGGAGACAACTCAGAACATCAACAACACATTTGGCCCAGGAACTGCTAATGAACAGACAGCGCAGCGGTGGTTCAATAAGTTTTGCAAAGGAGAGGAGAGCCTTGAAGATGAGAAGCGTACTGGCCGGCGATCAGAAGTTGACAATGACCGATTGAGAGCAATCATTGAAGCTGATCCTTTTACAACTACATGAGAAGATGCCGAAGAACTCAACGTCGACCATTCTACGTTCATTCAGCATTTGAAGCAAATTGGAAAGGTGAAAAAGCTCGATAAGTGGGTGCCTCATGAGCTGACCGGAAATCAAAAAAATTGTTTGAAATGTCATCTTCTCTTATTCTATGCAACAACAACAAACCATTTCTTGATCAGATTGTGATGTGCGATAAAAAGTGGATTGTATACAACAACTGATGAGGAGCAGCTCAGTGGTTGGACTGAGGAGAAGCTGCAAAGCACTTCCCAAAGCCAAACTTGCACCAAAAAAAGGTCATGGTCACTGTCTGGTGGTCTGCTGCTGGTCTGATCCACTACAGCTTTCTGAATCCTGGTGAAACCACTACATCTGAGAAGTCTGCTCAGCAAATCAATGAGATGCACTGAAAACTGCAAGGCCTGCAGCTGGCACTGGTCAGCAGAAAGGGCCCAATTCTTCTCCACAACAACACTCGTCCGCACATCGCACAACCAACGCTTCAAAAGTTGAATGAATTGGGCTATGAAGTTTTGCCTCCTCCGCCATATTCACCCGACCTCTTGCCAACCAACTGCCACTTCTTTAAGTATCTTGACGACTGTTTGCAGTGAAATTGCTTCCACCACCAGCAGGATGCAGAAAATGTTTTCCAAGAGTTCATCACACCCTGAAGCACAGATTTTTATGCTACTGGAATAAACACACTTCTCGTTGGCAAAAATGTATTGATTGTAATGGTTCCTATTTTGATTAATAAAGGTGTGTTTGAGCCTAGTTATAATGATTTAAAATTCATGGTATGAAACCGCAATTACTTGTACACCAACCTAATATTATAGGGTGGACGTAATATAGAGACTATATAAAATAGATTATGCAGACAATCTGTTAGGCTTCCAAATTCTGGGTTTTGCTAAGACTCAAGAATCATAAGAAAAAAAAAATCAAAGTTGGAAAAAAAAAAATCTAAAAACATATATTTGTCTAGTTCAACCTTTTCATTTTACATGTAAGAAATGCAGACCAAGTGATTCAGCTAATTAGTTTGAAGAAGCAAAACCCACATTTTCTGAAATGCGGTTTAATACTTCCACACCAATAGTTCTCAACTACTTTTCCTTGCCAAAGACAACACTGAGATATGCCCCAGTCCTGTGAATAGCAGTAATTCTTAATAGGAGAGGAGAGAAGGAGGGAAGGAGAGGTGTAGGGGCACAGGGGAGGGGAGAAGGGGTAGAGAAAAGGGAAGGAGGACCTGCAGGGTGCAGTGGTAGAACATTACCCATGCTATTGGGGGAGATAACTTTATTTACTGTGGTCTTATTACTTTAGATGTTAGATGTTACCACTAGTTTGTATTATATTTTTAAATTTGGTCCCAAAATATGTAATTCTAAAATTTATTTATTAAAAAATATCTTTCTGAAACATATCATACAAATTCTTTACCTGAGGAAACAGAGTACGGTGAATCATCTTGAATAGTATCTCATGTTACTGTTCTCAACTTCATACAATCATTGTAAAGTGCTATAAAGATATAGGGCAAAACATATTGTTGCATTTCTGTTTTTAATTTAGTTAATTTATTGGTTTGAAGAAAGGGAAAAGAGAGTCATATGTCTACTATCATTTATTTTGTTTTGATGGTTATTCTAAAGTTTAGGTTCACAAAAGGCTCAGCTATGATCATGTAACTGGTAGAAAATAACCCATGTTAAAGTAAATAACAGGCCAGGCATGGTGGCTCACACCTGTAATCCCAGCACTTTGGGAGGCCGAGGCAGGTGGATTACTTGAGGCCAGGAGTTCAAGACCAGCCTGGGCAACATGGTGAAACCCCGTCTCTACTAAAAATACAAAAGTTAGCCAGCTGTTCTGGCACATGCCTGTAATCCAGCTACTCAGGAGGCTGAGGCACAAGAATAGCCTGAACCCAGGAGGCGGAGGTTACAGTGAGCTGAAATTGTGCCACTGCAAGTGAGACTCCGTCTCAAAAAATAATAATAATAAAAGTAAATAACAGCAAACCTACTGTAAAAATCATTTGCATAAATGAATTCAGTATCATATTCATGTTGAGAATAGTTGATCCAAGTACCTAAAGTGTTTGTAGACCCACATCTCTTCAGTGAATCTGAGAAATCAAAATTATTAACATTGGTCTACTTCTGCTCTTGCAGTACAGAAGGACCTAAAATAAAACATTTGATGCTACTTTTTCTTTTGTCAACTCAATCTTTTGGAGAGCTTGAAAAATAATACAGTTTTTCAAGATTCCTGCACACAAGATTTTGCCTAATTCCGGAGTTACCTATTTTGTTTAACCCATATGACTAAGGTGAAGGGTAATGCCTTGCATTGCATCTACCCAAGAAAGTTTTCGTGATATGAGGAAGCAAGTAAATAGGCCTAATATAACGAATCTGTAATACTTGTTGTATTGAGTATATAGGAATCGAAATGAATCTGTTAGGAACTAAATACTAGAACAGTAGTTCACTCTGAGGTTTAATGAAATCTAACGACTGATTCTCAAGAAAAATATAAACAACACAAAATTCCACAGACAGTGGGAATGTAAAATGGTGTGTAGCTGCTGAGGAAAACAGTGTGGCAGCTACTAAAACAAAATAAAAATTAAATTACCATATGATCTAGCCATCTCTGGTTAAATCCCTCAATTTCTAGTGAAATTCACAAAAGAACTAAAACCAGAGACTTAAACAGATATTTGTATAGTAATGATCACAGCAAACATTATTCTCAATAGCCAAAATGTGGAAGCAAACCAAATGTCAATCAACAGATGTATGCATAAACAAACTACTATATATGTACAATGGAATCTTATTCAGCCTTAAAAAATGAAATGTGACATGTTACACAATGGATAAATCTTGAGAACATTATGCGAGCTGAAAAAAGCCAGTCACAAAATGACAAACACTATACGATTCTACTTATATGAGGTACCTAGGGTAGTCAAGTTCATAGAGACAGAGAGTAGAATGGTGGGGCTGCAGGGAATGGGGAGTTACTGTTTAATGAGTACAGAGTTTTAGGTTGGGAAGAGGGAAAAGTTCTGGAGGTGGATAGTGGTGATGTTTGTACAACAACACGAATGTACTTAATGCCACTTAACTATCCACTTAAAAATAGTTAAAAAGGTCAACTTTACGTAATGTTTAGTTTACCACAAGAACGACAGACTGGTTAATGCTAATCTATCATAAAAGTTTCAAGAGGAAAATATAATTCTATGGACAATTCCAACAGTTCACCAATTACCTAAAGATAATCAAGGAAACCCAAGCTATAAATACCTATTAAATTTCAACATAAATATAATGAAACACAGCCAAGCACAGTGGCTCATGTTTGTAATCCCAGCACTTTGGGAGGCTGAGGCAGGTGGATCACTTGAGGTGAGGAGTTCGAGAGCAGCCTGGCCAACATGGCAAAACCCTGTATCTACTAAAAATACAAAAATTAGCCAGTCACGGTGGTGCATGTCTGCAATCCAAGCTACTTGGGAGGCTGAGGCACAAGAATTGATTGATCCCAGGAGGTGGAGGTTGCAATGAGCCGAGATTGTGCCACTGGACACCAGCCTGGGTGACAGAGCAAGACTCTGTCTCAAAATAATAATAATAATAATGAAACAGGCATTACAGTACTATTTATAGAAATTAGCTTTGTTTTATCCCTATAATGATTGCCAACTAAATCCCATGCTTAAATATAATAAAAGTTTATTAAAACAGCAGAAATTGTTCTCCCTACTCTGAAGTTATCTTTCCCACACTAAAATAGAGCAACAGTAATTCCACATTTGTTGTTTGTATTTCATCACTGTTTTCAGACAGAACAAGAGATCTGCTGCCTACACACCATTTCTCAGCATCAACACCCATTTTCTTATGCAATTTTAAATTCTGTTGGCAGGTTAAAGACATTTTTTCCAACCACAAACAAAAACTTCTTTTGATACTCTAAGTGAATGTTCAAGGAAATGTTCCCAATTAAAAAAAAAACTAAAACAATAACATAGAAGTATATCGACAGTCTTAAGAAAATGTAAGTGGTAATTCAATGAAAACCTCAGTTCTAGATATAAGACATGTAGGACTTTATACTACCTCATTGACAAATCACCTATCTTTATGTCTTCAATTTGGAACTTTGCAAATGTTAAACGAACACAGAAGGCCAGAATGCTAAAAAAGGCAGAACCACATAACTTAGTCTTCCATGCAACTCCATAGACCTTTTTTTTTATGTCTAAAACATCACTTTGTAATAGCCCTTGATAATGAAAAGTGTTTAGCTTCAATTGTTCATCTCTTAAGAGTTATAGAAACTAGCTTTACTAGAAATTTTTAGCCTAAAAAACTTAAATCTTAGTACATACTTTTAATATCTCATAAGTAAAGGTTTCTTTGCTATTGTTAAAAAAATTGTAACACAAATAGAGACCATCACAAAGATAAACAATGGCAGCTAAGAACATACATAGCATTTATAGGGCAGCGCCAGGTACTGTTACAAGCACTTTACATATATTTAGCTAATACTGAAAACTGCCCCATGTGGTAGGTACTACTATTCCTCATTTTACAGAGATGAAGCCAAGGAATGGAAAGGTAAAGTGATTTGCCAAATATCAAAAACATCACACAGCTGGTTAAGTGGTAGAATCCAGACGGTCTGGCTCCAACATCTATGCTCTTAACCATTACACATACCACCTGTCATAACATATTGGGGAAATAAAGACGATTTTGATAATGCTGAACAAGCTCTTTAATAATAACATAAAATATATCAGTTGTCTTTTTGATCATAGTATTGTTGGTTTTGTTTGTTTTTAACTATGAGCCACTGTGCTAGAAGAGTGTAATTCACAGAATTAGATATACTAATGAAATTAAGATTTTTGGTAATGTCCATGACTATGAAGAAAGTAAGTCACAAAGATTAATGGCCAATTATCTTAAGTCTTTTGCTAATTTTGTGAACAATATACAAGTATAAAAACAAAGCCAACAAGACTGGTAGTTTGCTCACCAAAAAAGTAAATACATAAATCTATAAGGAAATGAAAAGTGCAGGTGATTAATCAGAATACTTATAAACAGATATACAGTTGAGATTTTCAACATATAAGCTTCAAGATGTTGAGGTATAGGTAAATTGTCCAAAAATAATCAGAGGTTGGAGGAAGGACGGAGTTCGTGATTAGTATGACTCACATGCATCTCGCAGCAAAACACAAACCACCAGACGTTTATCTATTAAAAACAAAAGACACTGAGTCTGGCACCAGTCTAAAAAGCAAGAAATACCATGTGCGAGTCAGACACTCGTGTGCCATTTAAAAATAAAGAAGGGAGATAGGCACATGACACATGATGAGTTCTAAACTTGACCTTCTCTGAAGTACACAATTCCATTTATAACTTCCAAAACAATTCAAAACACCTGAAAATAGCAACTTTCACAAGAAAAGCAAGCAAGAAAAACTAAAAAGATGCTTTAAAAATCAGAGGATAAAACTATTACAAAAAGAAATACTATATTTAGGGAGGAAAAAACCAAAAAGATTTTTGTGACACTGACTGTATTTTTAAGTGGGCTCCCCTCCTCCCTGTATTAACATGAACCCAGTGAAGCCAACCATTCTCTTGTGAAGACACCTAGGTTGAGCCCATGAGAGTGGAAAAGTGGCTTCTGCTTAAACTGTTCCTCCAAACTCCAGTTTCCCCTACAAAGGAGAAAAGCTGTACTTGGACTAAAGATTGCTACATCTATTTAAGCAAGGTTCTGTTTGAAAAGGAAATGATATAATTACAAGTAGCAGAAACCCTGATGGGACCAAATTCAGGTCATATTTGTGAGTAAAGAAAAAGTAGCTAATCTCCCAAATATGTAATGTAATAAAGTAATCCCCCCAAAATGACAGAATAAGAAATAGAATGGAGAGGAGATACAAACCCAACAAAGAAATGCCTTAATAAGACTACAGGGGTCTTGGGGACCTCTCTAAGTAGCATACCCATATTTAGAATCTGGCAATAATTTACTAAGTTACAACAAATAATCAACGGGTTAATATCAATAAGCTGGGACCATTTAAAATTCATTAATTACACTCATATTGTTAGCAACAATTTTTTAAAGTATTTACAGTAAATACAGCCTGTCATTCAGGGTATGCTTCGATGCCACAAGTACTATCAGGAAGAATCAAACCATACTTTAAAAGTTCATGAGAGCTGTTGTAAAAGCACAGTGTGTGACATAATGTTATCATTAATACTTAACAAATAAAGTACAAAAAACCCCACCAAACCCTACAAAAGTTTCTAAACACTTACCTTCTATTTCTGTCTATATCTTATCTTTGACTCGTAATAATCTTTCACAAGCCAGCACAGTCCACATTCTGAGCAGAACTGAGCAGAACTGATTTATAGCTTATCTGCCTATCTTCTCACTTCTAACCCCTAAGAACCCTGCAGTCTCAACAGAACCCACTGTAAAAACTTCAGGTTACTAAGGCAAATTCAAAATTATTATGTCATTTAAACCATACTTTCAACACACAATTATAGAGCATATAAAATATATATGGGGAATATAAAAGTCATTAAACTGCAGAGTGAAATAGAAAATGATCCAAAGGGGAAGAATGGAAAGGAACAAAGAAAAAGGAAAAAGGAAGAACCAGAAGAGGAGCTACCTGGAATGTAAGGGAAGAGTTAAAGATGGCAGAACTAATCAATCATTTCAGATAATACCAAGGAGTCGGGATTTGGCACATGCTCTCTCCAGCCTACTCATGAGAAGAAATGGTAGGAAAAAGCAGAAATATAAATAAAACTTTAACATGAACTACCAATTAACTACAACTTATCTGCTATAAGAGGAAAAAGAAGCAAGATATATTAGCTAATTATCACAAACATGCCATTTTAACAGTCAAGAATTTTTAAAATACAAATAAGAAAATCATAGCACTTCTATACAGATAGCTCTAATAAAAATGTTATATGAGCCTCTTAACAACAGACTGGAATATGGCCTCCAGAATCCTGACTCCTGGAATTACGCCCTTGCGGAATCCTTTCCCCCTACGTGTAGGCAGGATCTGTAACTTGCTTCTAACCAGTTAAGTATGGTAAAAGTGACAGATGTCACTTGGATCATTACATTATATAACATTATAACATCCATCTAGCTAGAAAACTCTCTCTTTTGCTGGCTTTGAAGAAGCTGCCATGTTGTAGGCTGCCCTATGGAGCAGGCCACATGGCAAGAAACTAAGGGTGGCCTCTGATTGACAGCCAACAAGAGACTGAGGCCCATAATCCAATAGCCTGTAAAGAACTAAATGCTCCCAACAACCATGTGAGCTTGGAAGAATCTCCTTCCCCAGTCAAGCCTTCAGGTAAGACTCTAGTTCTTGCAGACACCTAGACTGCAGCCTGGCAGAGGACCCTAAATTATGCCCGAGCTATTGACTCACAGATGCTGTGAGATAATAAATGTGTGCTGTTTTAAGCAGCAACGTTCGCAGTTATACAGCAATAGATAACTAATTCAGGGCCTTTAGACTTGTCAAGCCAGTCTACTTATATGATTACCTGTGGCTCAAAAGAACATGGTCCTCTCCAGAGGTTCAAGAGGCTTCATATCCTTTTAACTGCACTACAGACTAGACAGCCTAAAGCAGTAGTAAGAGTAGAAGCAGCGGTAGCAAGACACAACACCTTTGGTTGTTCTATCCATGCTTGAATCCACTTGAAAGTAGACTTTAAGGGAATCCCAAAATTCATAATAATAACAGTCCATCCTGGCCAACCATAAAAATACCTTAACCTTTGTCCCATTTGCCCCAAGAACATCCACCAGTGGTGGTTGTGACTGGAGCATTCACCCCGAGATAACTTTGCCACGAAGTATCTTGCTTTTATTATTATTTTCACATCACTCTAGTATCTCGACTTTGGAAGCAAAAGACATCATTCTATTTATGGCATTCTGTTTTTAGTAGTGGTATTTCCATTTACAAAATGTAGTAATTCTCAATCGCTGAAAATGTCAAATCCTAGAAAACGCAGCATTCGTTTGTATGATGGTAACATTGTTCTCAAATAATTGTTCACCGAAGAGTTATTTGATGAATCCAATTTTTCTGAAATAGACGATTCTGATAATTCAGACAGTTCTGATGTTAATTCTGTTTAGAAGTAACTCCAGGAACATTTTTTATGTTTTATTTTCACACTGAAAATCAGTCAGATTTGCTTCAGCCTCACAGAGCATGTTTATGTAAAATTAAATGAGCACTGGCAGCAAGCTGCACTCTTTTTTTCAAAACAGGAAAGGCAGTTTTCTAAATTATGAGTTATCAGCATTTTACTTTTTATTATTTAGATTAGCAAATATTAAAATGCATCACACACAAACATTTGTATCAATTCAATTAAATTCTATACTTACTGAAGACGCATTCTATGCAAAACACTATGTCATCCGTTAGAATCTAATAGGGTAGAATAATACAAATGCACAGGTAACTGTAAGGAAACATGACAAGGACCATATGAATGGCCAAATCAAGGAAGGTAACAACCATAACTGGAACCAGAAAAGCCTTCAAAAAGGAGACAGCATTTTAGACAGGCCTTGAGTAAGAAAGTGGAATTTCACAAATGGATACCAAGGGTAGGGAAAGAAACAACATCTCTCTTCAGAAAGGGACGGACATCAACTGTCGTATATATGTATGTGAGAGAGACAGAGAGAGAGAGAAAACGAGAATGTGTACGTGTGCTTATTAGAGAGTAGGAGTTATTAAGACAGAGTCTGGTTAGAAAGGCAAGTGAACACCAGGCTGAGAAGTTTGTATTTAATTTATCCAAGATTCACAGAAAAATTTTAAACACACTGAGTGTATTTGTACATTTTCACATGGCTATAAAGAACTGCCAGAGACTGGGTAATTTATAAAGTAAAGAGGTTTACTTGACTCACAATTCAGCATGGCTGGGGAGGCTTGGAAACTTAAATCATGGTGGAAGGTGAAGGGAAAGCAAGGCACTTTCTTCAGAAGGCAGCAGGAAGGAGAAGGGCTGAGTGAAGGGGGAAAGAGCTCTGTATAAAACCATCAGATCTCGTGAGAACTCACTCACTATCATGAGAACAACATTGGGGAAACCATCCTCATAATTCATTTACCTCCACCTGGACTCTCCCGTGACACATGGGGATTATGCGGATTACAGGAATTACAATTCAAGATGAGATTTGGGTGAGGACACAAAGCCTAACCCTATCGCTGAGCCAAAGAAAACGATGCTGTTTGCCACTCTGGCCTGGTGCTGTGATTCAAGAACTGTTATCCGAGAAGTATCGCGAGGTCTGGACTTATGTTGTGGCATGTTCTGATTATCGAGTATGGGAGTGAATGATGACCTAAAATATTCAGTGATACTTCAACTTGATTAATTGTAGGACTTTCAGATTCTGTCTTTTGATATTTTATAAATAAACTGATTTGGTGAAGATAAGTCTATATTAATTCATAACCAACTACTTTCCTGTTGTTCAATATTTGCTTTCATCAACATTACTTCATTATAACAACTTGTCAAATGGCATTATGATCTATACTGCAAAATATATAATACCATATACTCAGTATAATGCTCTCTATATCAGGGGCTGGCATATTTTTCCTGGAAAGAGCCAGACAGTAAATATTTCAGGTTTTGAGGACCCATAGGTCTCTGTTACAACTACCTAACTCTGTTGTCATAGAGCAAAAGTAGCCATACACAATATGTAAACATACGAGCATGGTTCTGTTGCAATTAAACTCTATTTACAAAAGCAGGCAATGGGCTATTTTGGCCCATGGGCCAGAGTTTGCTGACCTCTAATCTATACTTTCTTCTATTAATTTATTTTCCCATGAAAGAGTAAAATGTAGCCCTTTACTGCACATTGGCCTTATAATGATATATTAATGGTTTATTGAGGTTGTATTTTATGTCAGGTACCAAGTTAAGTTTATTACCTCCAGTCTACTAGAATAACTTCCAGAAATGGACAAGAACATCCAGAAGAAAATCCTGTTGGCTTTGTCTTCAAATTACATCTCCTCTCACCTCCTCCATCAGCACTTAAGCCATACATTCAGCAAATACCTGCCAAGCACACACTCTATGCCAGGCTCTGTTCCAAAGCATCTGGGACACATTACAGAGCAAAATAGAAAAATCCCTGCCCTTGAGCAGCTTAAGCTCTGGTAAGCGATGAAAGTCATAAATAAACCTAATATATAAGCAAATGATACCACACATTAGAGAGCAATAA
Source organism: Homo sapiens (assembly GCF_000001405.40). Classification (NCBI taxonomy): domain Eukaryota; kingdom Metazoa; phylum Chordata; class Mammalia; order Primates; family Hominidae; genus Homo; species Homo sapiens. Next base: position 20,821,501 of record NC_000006.12, on the reverse strand, counting down.
GTGCTATGGAGGAAAGAAATACAGAAGAGTAACCAGGCTTTGGGATGCCAGGGAAGGAAGGGAGTGGTAAAGTTAAATAATGTGATCAGATTGGGCCCAGGACAGCTGGCAGAAGAGTGTTCTGGACTACAAGCCTCCAGAGGAGGGGCTTACCCTAGGATGCTGTTTCCACCATGTCTCATCTAGACTATCACGGGAGCAACCCATTCTCTCTTCTTCCATTCGGACTTCACGACAGGATATCGTCCCTACAGCAGCCACACAAGACTGAAAACTCCATCAGGTCATGCCAATCCCCTGCTCATGCCAACTCCCATTGCATGATGAATAAAATGCAAAGTCTGCTCTGGTTCCTGATTGCCTCCCAGTCTCATTTCCTACCGCTCTCCCTCCAAACACTCTGCTCATAGTGGCTTCTTTGCTTTTCCACCCCAAGGCCTTTTGCTTCGCTGAGACCCTCTTCTCTAGGCATCCTCCTGGCTCTCTCCCTCACTTCCTGCATATTTCAGACCAAACATCACTATCTCGAAGGCCACCCCTAAAAGTTCTCTGTCCAAAACAGCTCTACATCTCCTGCTTTATTGTTCCTCATTACACTGTTCACTATCTGACATTTTAATCTAGTCTGCTGTTTACCTGTCTGTCTCCACCACTAGAATTGAAACTCCATGAAGACAGGAACTTTATCCCTACCACAATATCCCTAACACCTCAAACAGTGCCTGGTACACAGTAGGCCCTCAATAAACATTTTTGAATATATGAAAGAAAGTACTACTACCTTATAAAAGAGGAATCAAGGCTTTCTCAAGGTCACACAGCAAAAGAGTAGCCGAACCAGGACTTGAACTTAAGAATATAGGACACTGGGGCCAACGCTCCTCATCAACAATCTCTTAGGGCAAATCCTCATGGAACTGGAAATAGAGAAGTCATTCACTATGCACATGGACAGGGTAAATCGCATCAAAAGCAAGTTAGCCTGGTGGATAAGAATTCCAACCTGGTATTTTACTAGCTTTTTGACCTTAAGCAAATAAATTACTTAATAGTTATTTGCCTTACCTTTAAATTCAGAATAATATAAGTCCTTAACCTCACAGGGTGGGTGGGAAGAAGAAACAAGCTAATGTCTGTAAATTACTCAGAAAAGGCCTCAAACAGTATAGGTGTTCATTAAGTGTTTACTATCATTAGAGCAGAATGACTTCCAGGCATGAAAAGTTGACTCCAACCAGACTGAATGTATGGACATAACCACAGGTGACTCTGATTAGAGTTAGAAGCCTACACCCTCTTCCGCTAGCAACTTGTGTGGGAGGAACTGTGGGTGACAATGCAGCCTACATACTTTGAGGCCCATGACCCTCCACTTACTTTAGAGAATTCTGGGGAGGACCAAGAAGAAGCAAGAACTTGGAGGGAATCCACTGGCCCCCTTGGTAGGTTACACACGAGACTTCAGCCATGCAAAGTGGTTTCCTAAGCCTATAGGAGTTCTAGACAGAGAAAGCCTCTTCTACGTAGTGCTGCTGCGGTTACTACGCAGCCTCCATATCTGTGCGAGGCATCACTGAAAGCGGTTGGCACTGCTCTGTGAAGCTTCTAGCTGAGGGTGTGGCCCACAATGTATTTCTTAAATATTTAATAAAAATAATAAATAAAAATAAATATTTAACAAAAATTTTTGACACTGTATTTACTGCTATCTTCTGATCTCTATAATAAAAATCCATTTGTAAAGTAAAATACAAAGGAACTCAAACACATTTGAAAATATTTTCACACTTTACATTTATTTCGAAGTATAGAAAAGCACCCCATTTGTTTAATGACCAAAGCGTTCGATATAGCACAAGATAAATGTGTGAAATGATTTTCAGAACACTTCATGCCTAGATACTTGGTCATCTTAGGATAACATCTAGTTGGTTAATTTTATTCTGTCACTAAAGGTGTGACGTAAAGTTCAGAAATCCATTTGATCATCAGAAAAACAGGAGACAGAGCTCTAAATGAATACAAGCAAAAACACATTTTGCCAATAAGAATATACTGCCACATCTTTTAAAAATGGAAAATCATCATATTCATAGAGGCCTGGAGTTAGAAGAATCTTTAAGGCACCCTTAGCAGAGATTCTCAAAAAATACACTCTAATTATTTTGCCTATCAAAGTAAGAGAGATGGTTGCGTAAAACTCAGCTAAAAATTATTAGGACATCCCAGAAGACTGTCACCTTGGCCAAAACTATCCATTAATGTAGGTCAAAAAAAAAATACTATAAATAAGCATTTAAGCTTATTTATAGTGAAAATAAAGCAGCAGACATTAAATCAAAGTTTTGCAATTGTGTAATGCTAACTATGTGGAAGGGGAAAAAAACCAAAAATACCATGTGAAAATGGTACTCCCAGAAGTTGTTCTTTACAACCAGATCAAGTGAGTACCTTGTGAAACAAAATAACTCTAGTTCAACAAAATGATTGTTTTATTTTAAAGTGTAAATCAACCAAGCACTTGTATTATCCATGAACTAAAGAAATACACTCCTATAACAGTTAATAACACACAGAGCTTTTTAAAACATTTTGTACAACCTAAATTCTAAACATAATGCAATAATCAAAAGGTACCATAAGAGGGTGAACAATGAACCTCTCTACTACTCCCCAGGGTATTACATTATCTCACTGTGACTCCATGACAACAGAGGCACTTTAAATATATACATATTAGTGTGTGTATATATATAATTATTAAGTATATAACTATATAGTTATACAAATATATTTATAATAATTTTATAAATTCTTAAATGTTTACTTAAGATTAATGTATCTGTCCTAACAAAACCTACTCTTTCATTATGAATGATGCCTTGTAAAGGTTATGTCCCAACTGGGCAACTATATAACCACACTTCATTATTTTCAATGGTCATAATATAGAACTATATTTTTTAGGTCATAATATAGAACTATATTTATTTTTGAAGTAATTGATTTCAATTATAGGAGACAGAAAAGTTATGTTAGCTTGATTTTACTAAGAAGGATCTTAGCACTTTTCTTCAAGACAAAACACTCAAAAGAGATAATTATTGATGCTGGATTGCTATTTATAATACAATCTGATAATGCATAATAATTTGAGTTTATTGCTGTATAGTATGTGAGTAACAAAAGCAAAAATGTGAGCCACGTGACATTACTACTGTGGAACAGTTTATAGAATTCAATCCAGAAATATACCTCAAGTGAAGAAACTGCTAACCCTAGTTTGAGACATGTTATCAAAAAACCATAATCTAGCCCTTGATTGTGATAGTTTGTCATTTGATCTCCCAAGACCAAAAAAGACATTGTGTAAGTTCTGAAACAAGCCATTATCCTAGAAATGATTCACTCGCTTGAGGAGAGCACCTTTGGGAACAGCTGACACCACACTATGAACTATAATGTAAATGAGTACTTGGTAAAGAGGACTGATGGGGGTCAGAGTGGAAGGAAAAGGCTCAAGAAATAGTAGTGGCCCCTTCTTCAGGAATGGGAGGCTTCAGGCTACAATCATGCTAATACAGCCTGTCATTATTATCATAAAGCATTCCTTGAGATCAGGCAGTTCTTTTTTCACAAACACCCTATGATAAAAGTTCCTTACTGATGTAAACCATAAAAACTCTAAGTAAATAATAGTATATCTTGGATCACACAGAGCTATTTAGACAAATGGTGTTTGTATGCTTGCCGGAGGTAGAAGACACCATATCACTATTGCTTCAAACAACAATAATTAGTCAACTCTTTTCAGATAGTTTTTTAAACACCTAAAATTCTCCATGTCATTTAAAGCAATAACATAAAAAAATGAGTAGCATAAAAACATGACATCTTCCTGCAGGTTGTGAACAGTCTGCCAGGGCCACCCCGCACATTGTGTTCATGGCACATGATTTACTAAACTGACTGAATAATAGTCTTTATGCTTTCATGTTCAAAGTGTTTCTTTTTTCCCAATAAAATTATTTAATTAGAAAAAAACATAAAATCTACTTTCTCTGACCTTCTAACAAATAAAGAACTTTTATTGGCCTGTAATTTACTACGAAGAGACAGTGTATTAATAATGTAAACAAATGAATACAATAATGTAAACAAATGTAAACAAAAGAAAATAAGCAAAATTCCACTTCAATTTTTTTAAATGGGCTGCCATATAGAAAACTTCATAGAAGATGTTCATACATATTTCCTATTTTTTACACTGGAGCCTGCAGGTACGTATATTAATAAAAGAACTAGTGCTACAAGCAAAAATCTCAGGAAATTAAGGCCTGAGCTCTACTTCCAACTATACCAATAACTAGTAATATGATTTTGTTTTCATTTTTCTAGTATTTAACATGGTTTTAATGCCTACCTTTCATAGCATTACAGGAGTTAAAGAAAAATAGCATATGCAACATAGCGCAGTGCATAACACACAATGTCCTCAAAGAATTTTGGGTGTTCTTCCAAACCCTGCCCTCCACAATCCTCTGTTTAGATTAGTGAAAATCTGAAACTAATCTAAGTGTTAAATTAAACACAGCCACAATAATACTTAATTCACCATTATTATAGAGAATAGCTACTGACTCTTGAGATAACAAAAATAAAACTGGAGGTGGTAAACATTTGTTCAACAAATGAGAAAAATGACCAGATATGTTCTAGCTTATATAAGGACCAGGATGAGCACCAGGAATGTCTTGTTATATACCACACCAAACAAAAACACTCATGCCACTATTTTTTTTTTCTTAGTTTTCTGATCCAATTAGATTAATTATTCAGTTCTTTATGATTCACAATTTGGGTCTGAAAACATATTCTATTCACTTAGAGATATAATACAATTAAATTATTTTCAAGAACATTGTAACAAAGAGCATTCTCATTTTCTAAAATTAACCAGGATATAAGCTCTAAGAAAATTTAATGACCTCTGATTTGCTTTTCTATGATGAAGCACTGTCAGGTCATGATGGAAATCTGTGTTTATGGGCAAACTGTAGGTATAACTAAATGCTAGCACATTGCAATGCTGATACACTCTAGTACCAATTTTGCCTAGCAGCAGACACTAAAATTCACTGATAGAAATGAAAGTACAAAGAAAGCTTTGACATTAACAGAAAGGAAAGTAACAATAGAATGCTGTATTGGGTTGACTAGTATCCCTGCAGAATTCACATCTGCCAGGAATCTGTGAATGTGACTTTATTTGAAAACAGGGTCTTTGTAGATATAATTAAGTTAAGATGAAGTCAGATGAGAACAGGGTGAGACCCTAATCCAATGACTGTTGTCCTTAAAAAAAAAAGGCGGGGGGGGGGACATATTAAGGCCATGTGTCCAGATATCAGTATGGACACAGAGAATGGAGTCATGCTGCCAAAGCCAAGGATCACCAAGGATTGCTAGCAATGAGCAGAAGCTAGAAGCAGCAAGAAAGGATTCTCTCCTATAGCTCTGGAGAGAACATGGTACTGCCTACACCTTGATTTCGGGTTTCTGGTCTTTGGAACTGCCAGAGAATAAATTTCTGTTATTTTAAACCACCCAGGTTGTGATATTTTATTATGACAGCCCCAGGAAATCAATACAAGAATGTGCACAGAAAACTGATCTCAGTTGTGTTAAAATTAACATGCAATTATATGCATACCAACATACCAGAAGTTACCAAACTGTTAACAGTGGTTATCTCTGGGTGGTAGACTAGCTGATTTTTATCCAACTATTTGTGCTTTTTTCAAATTTTCTAAACCTTTTTTTAATGAACATGTTTACTTTCATAATCAGAACAAAATCCAATAAAGATGACTAATTTTTTTTTAAGTGTAGTCAGTTAAACTAATCAGGAAGCAAAGCATAAAGAAAAAAACATGAAAAATTAGAAAGGGCAAAAAACAGATAACCATCAAAAAAGAGAAAGTTTATTTAAAAAAAAAGGAGAAAAAGAGATTATACAAACTTCTGTAAGTGATTTTGAAAACCCAGTTAAACTGGATAATTTTGTAGAAAAATACAATTTACCAAAACTGAACCCAGAAAAGTCTAAGAAGTTCAATTAGCACAGGAGAAACAGAGAACCTAAAACACTTCTTCTACTCAACCCTTAAAGACTAGATCATACAAGTACTATATAAACTACTAAAAACAGAGAAACAAAGTATCTGATACTTTTCTTAGGAAACAAACATGGTAATAATTCTGAAATCTGACAAAAAATTTTTTAAAAGCCTGCAACCGTTCTCAAGAATACCAATGCAAAAATGCTAAATGCAACTGGCAGAAGACTTTTGCTTCTGGCCAAAATAAAGTGACAGGGACTGGATTTACCCTCCTACATTAAGGAATTTTAAAATGTGACAAAACATATGAAAAACATGTTCAGATATTAGACAAATGGCAGTGCAAAACAGTGATAACTGAGAGGAGGAAAACAGACAAGATGAGCTCACAGATTCTCCAACATGGTGCCTAAAGAGTTTCCAGATCTCAACATATAGATGGGGAACCCCAAGAAAGCATGGCAGCCTTAGCAATGTAAAAATAGTTCAGCTATCATTAACACTAAGTCAGTGAAAATTTGTAGGGCAGAGTATGAAAGATGAACAAGCTTAAAAGAACTCTGGAGAATGATAGAAAGGCTCCCTAGAATACTGACCAAACTGTACATGTACAGGAACTACAGGGGCCAGGGAAATAGGCAAAACAATTCCTTTCTAGTCAGAGGAAAAAGATTTCCTAATACATAGGGCATTGAGCAGAGTCAGCAAAAGCCTTCTGACTTAGTAGTGAAGGAAAATGAACTGTAAACTAAAAGCTGTTCAATAGCTGCATAACAACATTAAAAGCAATCAGAGAAAAAGGTCAGGCATGTTGGCTCACGCCTTTAATCCTGACACTTTAGGAGGCAGACGCAGGTGGATCACCCGAAGCCAGGAGTTCGAGACCAGGCTGGCCAACATGGTGAAACTCCATCTCTACTAAAATTACAAAAGTTAGCTGGGTATGGTGGCAAGTGCCTATAGTCCCAGAAGCGGATCACTAGAGGCATAAAAGTCATAAAGAATGAAGTAAAACTGTCTTTATTCACAGACAACATGACTATCAAAAAAATTCTTATAAATCTATTAAACAACTGCACATAATGAGTAAGTTTAGGAAGGTGGGAGAATACAATGTTAACATTAAAAAAAAATTTTATTTTTATATAATAGTAACAAACACTTGGAAACTAAAACTTCTTAAAATATCATTCACAATAACATGACAAAATATGAAATAGTTAAGAGTAAACTTGACAAAAGATATGCAAGACCTATTAACAAAAACTACAAAACACTGTTGAATTTAAGGAAGACCTAAATGAAATAGAGATATACCATGTTCATGAATGAGAAAACTCAATACTGTAAAGATGCCAATTCTCCCCCAAGTGATCCATAAATTCAATGGAATCCAAATGACAATAATAAAAGAGGCATTTTTTTGTAAAAACTGCAAAAGTAATTCTAAAATCTATAGAAATGTAAATAATTTATAATATTATAACTAATTTTTTGAAAAAAGAATGAAGTTAGAAGACTTACATTATGATTTCAAGCAACACTTATCAACTCCGTGTGAAACTAGTGTAAAGGGAGATATACAGAACAATGGAACAGAACAGAGAGTTCAGAAATAGACCCACATATATAGAGTCAGTTGAGTATCGACAGTGTTCCAAGACAAAGGGAAAGGATTATCTTTCAACAAATGGTGCTGGAACAATTCCATATCCATATTTAAAAGAAAGCACCTCAACTCTTATTTCATACAACATGGAAAAATTAACTGAAACCAAATAACAGACCTAAATATAAGAGCTAACATTACAGAATTTCTAGGGAGAAAAGACAAACAGGAGAAAGGGTTAGTGGCCTTAGGTTGGATGTGAAACACAAAAAGTACAAGTTATACTTGAAAATATCATAAACTGGACTTTATCAAAATATAAAACTGTTGCTTTTTCAAAAAACAATGTTAAGTAAATGCAAACACAGGTAACCTAATGAGAGAAAAATGTTTTCAACACATAGCCAATAAAGAACTTGTATCTAGCATATAAAAGAAATCCTAGCACTAAATAGTATGCCAAACAAACCAATAAAAAAGGACAAAAGATTTGAGTAGGCACTCAACCTAAAAATATACCTGAGGCCAGGCACCATGGCCCATGGCTGTGTAATCTAGCACTTTGGGAGGCCAAAGTGGGGAGATCACATGAGGCCAACAGTTTGAGACCAAGCTGGCCTATAAAGCAAGATTCTCTTGAGAGAGACAGAGACAGAGACAGACAAGGAGAGAGAGAGAGACAGAAAGGATGTTCAACATCATTAGTCATTAAAGAAATCCAAATTAAAATTGCACTGAGGTATAATAACTATATACTCACTACAATGGCTAATATTGACAGAACATATTGGGTGTTGGTGCCAAGGTAAAGCAAATGGACCGCTCAAAAACTGCTAGTGTAAATATAAAATGGTACAACCAATTCAGCCATACCACACCCTAGAAAAATGGGAGCATATGTCCACAGAAAGATTCACAAATAAATGTTAAAAAAATTGTATTTGTAAATCAGAAAACACAATCAAACCAGGTATCTATCAACAGGTAAACGAATAAACAAATGTTGGTATAGCCCTACCATGAAATGCTACTCAGCAATAAAAAGAACTCAGTCATCATATATACAATGATACAAATGAATCTAACAATCTAGGCTGTTAGGTTGTATTAAAGAAACCAGAAAAATAGGGGAACGTACTGGATAGTTTCATTTATGTAAAACTCTAGAAACTGCAAGCTAATCTATACTGACAGAAGGCAGATCAGTTCTCTGCAGATGGGGATGCAGAGAAGAATGAGTTATAAAATAGCAAAAGAAAAATTTGGAAGTGATGAAAACGTTCATTATCATGATTATGGTGATGGTTTCATGGACGTATACGTAAGTCGGACTCTTCAAATAACGCTCTAGAAAGACTACTGACAGCATGTCAAAATAATCTATTAATAGGAGCCAACTTGAAGGAGCCTCCACTAGCCAATAAGCAATAGTTTGAAGCACATTAGAAATGCTTTTCTAAAGAAAATCCCCCAAGTGCATAATGATTCATGGTTAAAAATTAAAACAAAAACAAACCATAATACTTAACAATTACCTTTGCAGAATGTTGGAGAACCAATTCATTTTTTAATATCTTAAATAAAACCAAAGGAATTAGGCATTCGTCCTACCTTTCTATAGAAACTATAAAGCAGGGTAACCAAATTTTTAAAAAAATTCTTTTCAGAGGAATTCCAACTAAAACATGAAGAAGCAATAAAATTAAAATATCAAAATTTTGCAATCCTTAATAAAATAATGGATCCAGGCCAGAGGTCGACAAACTATAGCCAGCTTGCCAAATCTGGCCTATACCCTGATTACGTATGACCAGGGATCTAAGGATGGCTTTTATATTTGTAAAGGGATGTAAAAAGAAACAAAATTGTTTGATAGACATTTTTGTGACTTGCAAGCCTAAAATATTTATTATCTCACCCATTACAGAATATGTTTGTCTGCCCCTAATTGAGCCAACAGTCCAGGCTTTTTTTTTTTTTTTTTTACTACTAGGTAAAAAATTGATAAAATCTTACAAAGGCTGGATCAAGTTAACAACACATAACCCGCAGATTAGCAAAAGTAAGAGGAGTAGACATGAGACCCTGTTATGATGTAATATGCAGTGTACAGCACCAGCTATGAAGCATGCTTGCCATAATGCTGAATTCTGGTCAAGTGCCTAGATTTGATTTCCAGTTTACAACACAATCTGGGGATAAAGACACACATTAAATAACACCATGAGGATGCAATTAGCAAAATCCAGAATGTGGAAAACTACAGGACAAATGAAATGGTTTCCTTAAATAAACTGCAAAAAACGAAGAAAGAAAAAAATGAAACAACAGACAAAAAGATACTTAAGACACAAGGTGAGTAAAGGGTTAACATTCGCCAGGGCTGAGTCAGACTTTCCTGGGAATGACCTCAGCGTCTCGACATTTATCTCCTTGGTAACAACAGAATTAAGATAAATGCAGAATGTTAAGTCAGCCTCATCTGCTGTATAGAATTGCCCCGGATGGAGAAAGCTAGGAAATGGTACACAGGCCTTGGGCCTACTTAACTAAAATGACCTAAAAAATCAGTGAAAAATCAAGGCTGGGTCTTTGCTTGATAAGGTAGCATCCACACACCTTGGCTCTTGTCCATGGCAGTCAAAATATTCTATTTAGATGAGAAAAGAGCTGTACATTAGGGTAACTGCTAGGTTTCCTGAGATGAAGACGTTGTACCTGCTATGTCTCCTGCTCATATTCCTTACATGAATCTAAATAAAAATAGTATTGAAGCCATTTCAGTCTTACAAGTCTGATGGCCAAGTTGGACAAAGAACCAGAGCTGTGGTGGCACAGACCCAAAGCGTTGCAGGGATCTTGTTTGGGTCCTAATTCAAAACAAAGAATTGTAAATACTGGGGGTAGGGTGGGTGAGAAAAGGAGATAAAGAGGGCGAATGAACAAGAGCACTAACTGTGAAAGCTTGGAGACTGACTAGATGTTTAATGATATTAAGGAAACCTAATTAATTTTATTTTAGATGTGACAATGTTATTGGGTTGTTTTGTTTTCCAGAGAGAGGAGAGAGAATGAATAAACACTTTTTTTTTTTAGCAATATATTACACACACACACACACACACACACACACACACACACACCCATACATACACACATAATCTTTTTTTTAAAAAGAGAGTGTCTCACTCTGTCAGCCAGGTTAGACTGCAGTGGAATGATCATAGCTCACTGCAGCCTGGAACTCCTGGGCTCAAGCGATCCTCCCACCTCAGCCTCACGAGTAGCTAAGACCACAGGCAACAGGTGCGTAACATGACACCACGTGTGTGTGTGTGTGTGTGTGTGTGTGTGTGTGTGTGTGTGTGTGTGTGTGTGACAGAGAGAGAGAGAGAGAGAGAGACTCTCACTATGTTGCCCAGGCTGGTCTCAAACACATAACTGGTATATTAACTAATTAAATGATACAACAACTCCTGCACTTTGCTTCAAAACAATTTAGTTGTGCTGGGGCAAGAGAAGGGGCAAGGGTGGTGGAAGACAGATAAAATAATTTGGATTGCCCATGAGTTGATAATTGCTGCAGCTAGGTAAGTACTTGAGGGTTCATTATACCATCTTCTCTTTCTATGTGTTTGAAGTGTTCTATAATGGTTTAAAAGAGTTAAAACTGTGGAAGAGCAGAGGGTAGAAAAATAGGACACAATTGAAGGATCACTATCAGTCTGCGGGGCTGTCCATCTAAAAGTTTAGATGTGATTCAGCCTCCTTAGAAATGTCTTCATCTATCTTTAAACCAACTTGATGCTTGTTTTTCCATTTTGTATTTGTTAAAATTTGAATACTAAATATAGTAAATACTTCTGAATAATTTCTATTCATAAGATCTTAAAAGTAAAAATATCTTAAGGAAGTTACATATCTTAAAAGAGACAAAAACCAGCTAAGAATACAATAAAAAGTCAGGATACACCAATCAATCTCTGATTTTCTGTCACTTGATACACTCTTCAAGAAGTAGAGCAACTCATCTTTGAATTGACTTCTTCCTTTCTACGTTTACTTATTCTTCAATTGTTAGCCTTCTATTTTGCTCATTTTATTCAATTCAATGGAACAAATATTTACTGAGTATTCACTAGAATGATGCATTCTGGGGAAAGCATATGAGAACAGAAAAAAAAGGAAAAAAGTATGTTGCCTCCTCTAAGGCCAGGAAGCAAGGGTTTCATTCCCAACTACTCCAGATCCAAAAATCATTCCAAGTGTAGTAAAATATCAATACATTAAATTCTCTGCTCTCAGATGGTTACAAAAAATGATACCTCTGCTCTCAGATGGCTACAAAAAGTGATACCTAATCAGCTTGTTGTACTTCTAAATTTGATTTTGGAAACAGACACCCAAAAAAGTTAAAAATCATTAGTGATATGAAGTAGAACAAAATTCTTCAACATATTAAGTGAAGAAACGCATGGCCCCTGGGTGCTAATAACTTGAAATACCCACTGCGTTAAGGAAGGAATGGCCCTGTGAGTGATGACTGGGGTTGGGAGCTGTAGCTGAAAAGTCTTAATTAGGAAATACTGACCTTAGATGTCTGTTACAGTAAGTTGTTTTGGAAAGAGTCCTCAGGCAAAAAGATCACAGATTTTGTTATGCTTTCCACTGTAAACAAGTTTTTGCTTTCCCTCTGATAAAAACACTGTGGTTTCTGCAAGCAATATTAATAGAGCCAAAATGCATGTATGGTCTTTGCCTTCAAAAAAGATTTACTTCAAGTGTTATAGCTAAAAATTAAAGTTTGATGTAGTAAAAGAGAATTATGCCATGTAGTCAAGAAGAGAATCTGAAACAGCTCCCTCAACACAAAATCAAAGACAGCAGTTACTTAGTGACCAGAGTCTATTTCAGGAGCCCAGTGAAAAATCAGCCTTGTTTCAAAATAGAAAACACAGTAGAAAAATATACTTATTTTGTGAACGAAATAAGTATAATGTACAGGATACATCAAAATAGCATCCATATTTTCTGTTACTACCTCATACTAATAATACATACATCCAATCCCATCTTCTCTCCTGAAACCCAGAACCAAATTTTCAACAGTTGGTTTCAACCAACTGTTGAAAATCTCCCATAGGCATCTCAAAAACTGATCCAAAATTCAACTAACTTATCTTTGTCCCACTACCAAAATTCCTCTTCCCTCTGAACTCCTTGTCTGCAAGAACACTGCTATAATGCTCCAGCCAGGAACTGTGGGCGTCATCTCTCCCTGTTTCCATCAACCCCCTTTGCACATCCAATCAACTAACAAAAAGATGGCAAATTTTTTTCTTTAAAGAAACAGATAGTAAATATTTTTCATCACCAGACTTCCTAGGCCAAAAGTCAATGTCAAGGTTATTATGTAGGTACTTACATAATAAGAGTGAAAACAATTACCATAAGCTTTTCATTGACAACATCCAAAATAAAATAATAAAAATAATAAATGCAATTTTTTGTAATACAAATCTCTTAAGGAGAAGAATAGAATTTTTTCTCTGTGGAAGAATAATATTTTACTTAATTTGGGTTCAAAGGTAAAATGCCCTAGCAACAAAATTAATTACAAATTTTAATCTGCTAATATTGACATATGAAGAGATTTTACTTATTTCATTTTTTAAAATGTCTTTCACACAGATAAGTAATGGCAAATACTGATAGCAATCAACAAACGTGATTTTAACTGAGCAAATTCATCACTTGGAAGGTATCTATAGTATTCTATTCTTCATATTTACCTTTCAGCATGTCATTTACAATACAGATTAATCAATCCCAATGAAGATTAGGTGTGAGTTCCTCACTGCACCCCTTAAATGGATTTTGAAGTACAGAAATTTACTTTGCTCTTTATTGAAGTCCAAAAAACTGTTGCTGTAGTTTGAGCTCAGAATATTTATCTGCTGCAAATTTGGAAGGCAATAAAGAGCTTGCTTCTTCATTTAACTTTTGATGGCACATGAAGTGTAGAAAGCAGCTTGATATTACATATGACATGAATATTCGTTGCTATCAAAATGACTTTACAGTAATATGTTTTACATATAAGTGCCATTTTGCTTTTAATTTTGGATTAATTTTGGATTAATTTTATTAGGAAATATTATCAAAGTCTCCAGTAAAACCTAATTTCCAAAGCCATTTAGTGTTCAGAAACAGTAGAGAAGGGCAGTTCTTTTCATTCAGAAAAATTTCAGGCCGGGTACAGTGGCTTGCGCCTGTAGTCCCAGCACTTTGGGAGGCCGAGGTGGGCCGATCACAAGGTCAGGAGTTCGAGACCAGCCTGGCCAATATGGCGAAACCCCATCTCTACAAAAATACGAAAATTAGCTGGGCGTGGTGGCATGCGCCTGTAGTGCCAGCTACTCGGGAGGCTGAGGCAGGTGAATCGCTTGAACCCAGAAGGTGGAGGTTGCAGTGAGCCAAGATCGTGCCACTGCACTCCAGCCTGGGGCAACACAGCGAGACTCCGTCTCAAAAAAAAAAAAAATCAATTTTGGCCCTGACCTCAAAAATAAATAAATAAATAACAGTAAAACTTTGCCATTACTAAACCACCAAACTGCTGTGTGTGGTAGAGCAAGTCAAAATAATCAGCTTCAGTTTCTGACAATAATTCCCAGAACTGACAAAGGCTAAGTCTTCATGAGTAAATGAAATGAAGTTCACCAATGACACTTCAGTTCAGCACATGACAGATACAAATACTTTCATCAGTATCTAGTGACGAATAATACAATGAACATATGCTTTAAACACTCTACATTTTCACAGATTTGTAAATCTAAGACTTGTTCTGCTTCACACATATTTTTACCGTATCAGCTGTAACACATCTTAGCAGATTCCACTTCAGCTTGAACTAAGTAATGCTTTATTAATTTCCTTGTAAATATCCTCGCTTGTAGTTGTTCCACATAAGGTATTCAGATAAGCTAATTCTTCATTCACTTCAAACTCATCATTGCCTCCTCTAATAAACAACAATTGAATAGTACTAGAAAAATCTGTTGACTCACAACTGGTCTGAGATACCATCTCAGACCAGTCAGAATGGCTATTACTAAAAAGTCTAATATTAACAGATACTGGTGAGATTGTGGAGAAAAGAGAACACTTAAACATGCTGGTGGGAATTAAATCAGCTCACTCATTGTGGAAAGCAGTTTGGCGATTTCTCAAAGAACTTAAAACAGAACTACCATTCAGCCCAGAAATCTCATTATTGCATATATACCAAAAGGAATATAAATTGTTTTACCATAAAGAAACATGTATGTTCAGCGCAGCACTATTTACAATGGAAAAGACATGGACTCAATCCAAATACCCACCAACGGTACACTGAACAAAGAAAATGTGGTATGTGGAATACTACAAAGCCATAAAAAGAATAAGTTCATGTATGTCCTTTGCAGCAACATGGATGGAGTTGCAGGACATTATCCTAAGCGAACTAACGCAGAAACAGAAAACCAAATACCACAGGTTCTCACTAATAAGAGGGAGCTAAACATTGAGTACATATGGATACAAAGAAAGAAACAACAGACACTGGGGGCTACTTGAGGGTAGAGGATGTGCGAAGTGTGAGGATCCAAAAACTACCTAACAGGTACTACACTTATTACCTGTACAGCAAACCCCTGTGACATATAATTTACCTACATAAAGACCTGTACATATTACACACATTGCTGAACCTAAAAGTTGAAAATTAAAAAAGAATAAGACCCCAAAAAACATTTGAAATCATATGCCTTGTTTTTTAAATTAAATATTGCTGTATCTCCCCATATCCTCAACTCTTTGAGCAACTGCTCTCGCCATTAAATAGTCTTAAGTTTATTTTCAGTGCACATACTTCTTCAGCGGCTGCAATCAAACATGATTTAATAAAATCACTACTGATAAATGGATCTCCTTGCTTGGGTAACAAATGTGCCAATCAGAAACTTACAGTGGTTATAGTCTCATTTTCGTTTTTTTATACTTACAAAAAATTTCTGCTGAGAATAGATTTTCCATTTTAAGTTGTCTTAATTTTTCTGACTGTTGCCCTCCTGTGAATTGGGAATATTGTGATGAATGCTTAGTCTGCTAATGTTAAAGCATATTGTATTATTTTTACCACAGCTATAGTTACCACATAATAAACACAACGCTTTGCCATCTAATTTGATAACAAAGTAATCCTCACTCCACTGTGCCTTAAAAGTGAGATATTCAAACTATGCTTTTATTTTGGCATGATGGGTATGCCCTGCTAATAAAAAATAAAGTAAAATAAAAACAGTGATATACATCCACTGAAAACACTGTGGAGTTAGTTGTAACTGCAATTTATAGTGTGCTGACCAGCATTGCAAACAATGAAAGCTCCAGTTTCAGGGGTCTCTAGATACTAACACACATATTCGGTGACTCATTAGAAGAACTCACAGACTCAGGAGACAGTTGCACTCATGGCTATAGTTTAGTACAGCAATTAGTAACAGAAAAAGACACATCAGGTAAAATCTGGAGGAATCTGTGCACAGGCTTCCTGTGCTTTACCTCTCAGGAGAAGCCATACAGAACACAGTCCATCCAGCAGTGAAATGCAGTAACACACATACATGATCTTTCTACCTAGAGCAGGTCATTAGAGACTCAGAATCCCAGGTTTTAATTTTTCTTTCTTTGTTTTTTAGAGGCAGGGTCTCACTCTCTCACCCAGGCTGGAGTGAAGTGGCACAAGTAAAGCTCACTGCAACCTCAAACACCTGGGCTCAAACAACAGGACTTTTATTCTGGGCTGGTCACAGAGTTATGATGACTAGTCACAACTATCAAAACAGTAGACTAGCAGAAGGAAAGCAGGCGTTTGTACTCCAGGCAGGAAAAATGCTTTTATCAGCTTAGGGAAAATTCTAGGAGTCAGGCTCCCAGATACTACTCAATGGTTAACCTCACCCCCATGGCCCCAGTACCAAGCAGATCCTTCTAAAGATGGCAGCCCAGACCTGCTCTATTGACTCTTTCCTGTACAACATCATAGATACTGTCTGCTGCAGCTGCTCAATTCTGCCACTGCAGCATGAAACCAGTCAAAAACAATTTTAAAATGAGTGAATGTGGCTGTTTCCTGATAAAATTAAAAATATCCATAAATAGTAATGGATATTGAAACTTAAATTTCATGTAATCTTCATGTATCACAAATTATTATGTTTCTTTTTATTTTCCCCAGCTGTTTAAAAAATGTAAAAACTATTTTTAGATCACAAGCTGTTCTAACAAAAGCAACTGACTAGCTCTGGCCCACAGGCTGTAGTTTGTTAATCCTTGAACTAACCGATCACCTGTATTCTTAGTCCCAGTTATTCTTGCCTCTCTCATTCTATTTTCTCTCTCTGAGTTCATACTACCATTGTTTCTTTTCTGAATTTTTACAACTAATTCACAACTGTTTCTGTATTTCATCATTGTATCCGTACACCTACCATCATAGCTGGCACAATAGTATGCACTCAATTAAGTCATTTTTACTGAATGACTTAATAGTAATTCTTAAACCATTCAAGTTATTTTTCAAATTGGTAGATAGTCATTGTAAAATGTTATAGTGTAGTTATATTCAAAGATTTAACAGAATACCATAAATGTCAGTAGAAGAGAAAATAATTAAATATATAATATTGGAAAATTGTTGACCAATGATATAAATATCACATTTCATTTTCTTTTTCCCTAAACAGGACCAAAAATAATGAAAATTCATCCACCCTTGTCAACACATCTTCCTGCCTTGAAGGTAGAAGTGTTATATTATCCTAAGCACTTCCACCTACATTCTCGATCCCATATGCTCCGGAAACTTACTCTACCAAATAGTCTCACTTCTTATTTGGTCTCTCTCTTTTCCCAGTAGCTATTTCTTTTAAATATAAAATTATTTTCTATTTCTGCCATTCCTAAAACCACAAGAATAACATCAGCTCCCCTGATTCTCCCCAACTAGAGCCCCATCTCTACTCTTCCCACTGGCAACAAACTTCTTAAAAGATACTATCTTGTCCCTATGCCTCATCTCCTGCCCACTCTTCCACCTACGTCAATCTGCATTTAACCTAAACAACTCTCCTGGAATTGCTGTCAGGTTACCATGAACACTTTACTATCACCGCCAATGGCTTATTTTTAGTTCTCAATTATTCTCCTCTCTGCATCTTCTGAGAATATATTATGATAAAAATTGTACAAACGTGATTAACAACTCTTCCTTGAGAAGGATGGTGACACTTGACATGGAAAAGGCGATATTTGACAAAGTTTTGAAAGATGACTATAGTTGGCTAAGCAGGCCTAGCAGAAGTAATGGCATACACAAGGGCATTAACACATGTTACAGAATGGTATGTTGAGACAGGCAGGCTGGCATTGATGAGTATTAGTTGTAACAGGGAAAGGAGAGAAAAGGCTGGAAGAAGCCATGGGACTCTTATACCACCCTAAGGAGTTGGTAATCTTCCTAATAACACTGTTCCTCTACCTTGTTTGCAAACTCTCTGGAACCCTATCACAAATGTATACCCACATATAAGCAAATATTAAGTAAAAAAGTTTTCACAATTTCAATCCTATACACTTGAGAGATGGCAACAAACGTGGCTTCAGGTTATTTAATATAATTCCAGATTAAGTTCAGACATTCTGTCAGTTCCTTGTAGGTCAAGCCCATTACTGTCCCCAAATAATCCTGACATCTGTCAAGATAACATGTTAGGATGTCTCTTCTGCATTTTAAAAATGCATGTTCTTTCCTGGTAATTTCAGCAGTACTCTTCTCCTTCCTGCAATCCAATTAAAAAAGTTTTCTGCAGACACAGAGTAATCTAAGACATTTAAGATGTCTAAGCCCCACCCACTCACTGGCCTTCAGGGTCAGATTTCTTCACAATCATCTTTCTGTGCTCTGAGAAATGCTTTGCATTTTTGAAACGAACATCAAAATTTTCTACTGAACTACCTGTAAATGCCTGTGACTCAAAGCATTTTTAAATCACTGTAAGGCCTGTTTTGTGGTACCCCTTTGCAATCATCCAACTGGAAAGAATGCTTATGTTGAAGAACATATATATGTTCTTATATATGTGTGTGTATACATATAAGAATGCATGTATATGTGTATGTATATATTTCACATATATATCTCCAAAATATATATATTTGCCTAATCAAACAATAGATACAAAGGTTGAGAGTACTGTAGTAGGAATGATGTTTTTCTTTCTTTTTGAGACTATAGGGTGAGGACATGCATATACTTTCAGTATTTTAGAAAGTAATATGAAGAAAATGATTTGCTAAAGAAAAATAACTCATTCACATTATTATTATTATTATTATTATTATTATTGTTGTTGTTGTTGTTTTTTGAGACGGAGTCTTGCTTTGTTGCCAGGCTGGAGTGCAGCGGCGCAATCTCGGCTCACTGGAACCTCCGCCTCCTGGGTTCACATGATTCTCCTGCCTCAGCCTCCCGAGTAGCTGGGACTACAGGCGTGCACCAACATACCCAGCTAATTTTTGTATTTTTAGTAGAGACGGGGTTTCACCATGTTGGCCAGGATGGTCTCAATCTCTTAACCTTGTGATCCGCCCACCTCGGCCTCCCAAAGTGCTGGGATTACAGGCGTTTGCCACCACTGCACCCGGCCGTCATTCATATTTTTTAAAGGTTAACAGCAAATATTGCATGTGGTTAAAAACACATATTTTAAGAAAATATTTTATCAAGTTGTTGCATAATAGCACACTTAAAATTCTTAATACATTTAAGAAGGATGTTACACATTGGGCTAAAATAATCTATTATTTCCATCACTATAGGGACAAAGACAGGGAGGGGATTACAGCTTTGATCTCAACACAGAAAATGCAGACTATTTACCAACACATCCTTATAAATCAGGGGGATTACTATATTTCCATTGCGAAATTATGTAAATACTATCTGGTCACAGGTTTTTTAAAAAATAGAGATGGGAGTTACACAGGCATACGCATTTGTCGAAACTCAGCCATGTGCTTGCTCTTAAGATGTATATATTCCATGGTTTCAAAATTTTACATAAAATCCTACAAATACTGATGTCTATAATGTCACGTCTGATGTAGTATTTAGAGGAAGTGTTCTGATGTCTGCAATTTCATTTGAAACATGTTAAAAAAATAAGTTGGACTGATGGATGAATAGAAATGGATGAAGAAAGATATGACATAATAAAGATGGTAAAATGTTAATAACAATCTTCATGGTGGGTAGACAGGTGTGCACTGTAAAATTTTTTCGACTTTGCTGTCCATTTGAAATTTTTCATAATAAAATTTTGGGAAAAAATGTAAAAGCCTGCTATGGTTTCATCTGCAGAGCCTCGTTAGCAAGCCTAAGGTGGTAGATGAGGATAGAAAATTTCTTCAGGGAAAAACCCAAGATGAAAGAATAAGGGGCCAGGAATGGCGGCTCATGCCTGTAATCCCAGCACTTTGAGAGGCCAAGGTAGGAGGATCACTTGAGTTCGGGAGTCTGAGACCAGCCTGGGCAACATAATAAGGCCCTGTCTTGACAAAAATAAAAATAAAAATAATTAGCCAGGTGTGATGGCATATGCCCATAGTCCCAGCTACTTGGTAGGCTCAGATAGGAGGACTGCTTGAGCCTGGCAGGTTAAGCCTGCAGTGAGCCTTGAAAGCACCATCATGCTCCAGCCTGGATGACAGGGCAAGACCTGTTTACCCCAAAAAAGAAAGAAAGAGTTGGTTGGGTGTGGTGGCTCATGCCTATAATCCCAGCACTTTTGGAGGCCAAGGCAGGAGGATCTCTTGAGCCCAGGAGTTCAAGACCAAGCTGGGCAACATAGCAAGACCCATCTCTATAAAATATCAGCCAGGCAAGGTGACACACGCCTGTTGTTTCAGCTACTCAAGAGGCTGAGGTGGGAGGATTATTTGAGCATGGGAGGTCGAGGCTGCCATGAGCCATGATCACGTCACTGCACTCCAGCATGGGCAACGGAGCAGGACTCTATCCCCCACCACCCTCAAAAAAGAAGGATGTCAAATTAGTTTAAAATTCCTAGTAAGTATCAAAAGAATTTTAAAAGCTGGGCATGAGAGTTTAGAAGTGTTTCATACATATATATGAAAACATCATCATAAGAGACAATGGGCATATATGTCACCCTACAAAGCTTCTTTGTGTACCTTTGCAATTCCTCCCTTCCCCACTCCCAGACCAATTTGCCTCAGGGATTCACTTATTTGCTTTCTGGAACTAGAGATTTGTTTGCATTTTCTACAGTTTAGTTGGAATAATGTAGTGTGTCATAAATTTGTCTGGGTTCTTTTACTCTGCATAATTGAGTTTCATCCATGCTTTTGCATGTACCCAGAGTTAGTTTCTTTATGTTGCTGGGGAATATTCTATTGTAACCCTATCTCACACTGTGGGTTGTTTCCCATTTTTGGCTATTGCAAATAAAGCTGCTATGAGAATCTGCTTTAAAAGAAAAGAAAAGAAAAAGGCTGCTGAGCATGTATATGCTGGTCCAGCAGTTCCAGCAGGGCTGGGTGCTCTGAGATATTGTAGGGAATCCATGCTGTTGCTTTTCCATTGTATAGATTTTCATAGGCAGCCCTGCAAAGGGGGGATTTGCAATTCTTCCAAATATATGGCTAAGATGATTCAATGGTAAATATAAGGGCCTGATTAAGATTTCGCAGTATCTACTAACATGCAAAAGGGTAAATTTAAACAAATCATCATGAGTACAAGTGACCAAGTACTTTTAGATTTGTACAGTTTTTATAGGCACAAGTTCCAAAGCAATAATTATTTCTTTCTCTACTCAAAGCATCAAGACAAATTGCAAGTCTGGTGTACACATGTGCACGAAGGTAAGGGGAGGATGCACACATCAGCTTACTGGTAAGCCAAATGATTTTCTTCTGTGGCATTTTTGTTCTAACCAGATTCCACCTTGGCCCAATCCTACCTCCAGTAGCAATACAATACTACTGAAAGATGTCTTCTGATCAACAAATGGAGACTGGCAGGAATTGCCAAAACAAAAGAGTATTTCCTCTAATGGAAAATCATACGTTAAATTTTTTATATAATAAGTCAAATCACGACATAATCCTGCTATATAACTGTCTTTTTAAAAATTCTTATTTATTATTTTAGTGGTATACAGTAGGTGTGGTAACTGTCTTATTAATCGTCGCATATTACCCACAGGTGACATATTCCATTCATTACTGAGGGTAAGTTCAGTGATACCTAATTTACCCTTAGCAACAGTTCAAAAGCTCAGTTCTAGGCCGGGCACGGTGGCTCACGCCTGTAATCCCAACACTTTGGGAGGCCAAGGTGGGTGGAACACCTGAGGTTGGGAGTTCGAGACCAACCTGACCAACATGGAGAAACCCCGTCTCTACTAAAAATACAAAATTAGCCAGGTGCGGTGGTGCGTGCCTGTAATCCCAGCTACTTGGGAGGCTGAGGCAGCAGAATTGCTAGAACCCGGGAGCCAGAGGTTGCAGTGAGCCAAGATCATGCCATTGCACTCCAGCCTGAGCAACAAGAGCAAAACTCCGTCTCAAAAAAAAAAAAAAAAAAAAAAAAAAAAACTCAGTTCTTTTCAAATATATGGGCCCAGGCCCATTTTCCTCTCAGTCCAGATGACTTTGTTCCAATTTAAATGAGATGCAAACCTTTTAACACAATTTTCTTTTCTTTTTTTTTTTTTTTTTGTATTATTATACTTTAAGTTCTAGGGTACACGTGCACAACGTGTAGGTTTGTTACATATGTATACATGTGCCATGTTGGTGTGCTGCACCCATTAACTCGTCATTTACGTTAGATATATCTCCTAATGCTATCCCTCCCCCCTCCCCCCATCCCATTACAGGCCCCGTTGTGTGATGTTCCCCATCCTGTGTCCAAGTCTTCTTATTGTTCAATTCCCACCTACGAGTGAGAACATGCGGTGTTTGGTTTTCTGTCCTTGTGATAGTTTGCTCAGAATGATGGTTTCCAGCTTCATCCATGTCCCTACAAAGGATGTGAACTCATCATTTTTTATGGCTGCATAGTATTCCATGGTGTATATGTGCCACATTTTCTTAAACCAGTCTATCATTGATGGACATTTGGGTTGGTTCCAAGTCTTTGCTATTCTGAATAGTGCTGCAATAAACATACGTGTGCATGCTTTTAACACAATTTTCAATCTACCCTGGTTCTCTACCTAAATATTTCTTAATAAATATTATTTTCTTCACAGAATAATTTTTTTAAAACTGACATAAATTTCATTTTCTGGAAGGTGTACAGTTCTATGAATTTAGCCTATGTATTGGTATGTGCAACCATCATCAAAAGACTACAGAAGAGTTCTTTTACCCTAGAACATTCCCTTGTGCTATACCCTTACCCAAACACTCTCTGCCCTCCTCACCTCCCAATCTCTAACCCCTAAAAATCCTTGATCTCTTCTCCATCACCATAGTTTTTTCTTTTTGAAAATGTCATATAAATAAATAATATAGGGCAGGTGAGGTGGCTTACAAACCTGTAATCCCAGCACTTTGGGAGGCCGAGGTGGGAAGATCACTTGAGCCCAGGAGTTCAAGACCAGCCTGGGCAACACGGTGAAACCCCATCTCTACAAAAAATACAAAAATAGCCAGGCATGGTAGCACATGCCTGTAGTCCCAGCTACTCCGGGGGCTGAGGTGGGAAGATTGCTTGACCCCAGAAGACAGAGAACGCAGCGAACCGTGGTTGCGCCACTATACTCCAGCCTGGGCGATAGAGCTAGACCCTGTCTCCAAGAAAAAATAAAATAAAATAAAATAAAATAAAATAAAATAAAATAAAATAAAATAAAATAAAATAAAATAAAGCAATCAATCATACATACAGCCTTTTAGTGATTGGCTTATTTCACTTGGCATAAGCTTTTTACATCCATCCAAGATGTTGGGGATGTCAATCATTCATTCCTTTTTTTGTTTGGTGGTATTCAATTAAGTGAACGCAACACAGATGATTTTTCCATTCATTCCCTAAAGGATACAGGAGTTGTTTTCAGTTTGGGCTAATTAGGAAGGAAGCTGCCATAAACATTCATACACAGATTTTTGGGTGAACTTACGTTTTCATTTCTCATACCTAAAAGTAGGACGTTCGTCATATGATAAGTACATGTTTAACTTTTTAGAGAAACTGCTAATTCATTCTCCAAATGGCTGTACCATTTAGCATCTCCAACAACAATGTATGAGAGCTCTAATTGCTCTACATCCTCTCCAGTACCTGGTACTATCAATATTTTTCATTTTACTTGGTCGAATAGGTGAGTTATAGGATCCCTGATGTTAATGATGTCGAAAAACTTTACATGTGCTTAGTTTCCATTTGCATATCCCCTTTTGTGATGTCTCTGTTCAAGTCTTTTACCCGTATTTTAATCTGGTTGTTTTCCTAGTGAGTTTTGAAAGTTCCTTATATATTCTGGATACAAGTCCTATGCTGTGTATGTGATCTGCAAATATGTTCTCCCAGCCTGCAGATTGCTTCTTATTATCTTAATAGTTTCATTCACAGAGCAAAAGTTGTTAATTTTGATTAAGTCCATCTTTTATCCTTTTATAGATCATACTTTTGGGTATCAGGTCTAAGAACTCTTTGCCTAACCATAAATATAGAAACCTTCTCCTATGTTTTATTCTACAATTTTTAAAGTTTTACCTCTTATTTTTTATTTTCATGAATTGAATAAGAAAAAAGGTTTTACATTTTACATTTTGAACTTGGATCCCTTTTGGGTTAACTTTCATATACATTTAACATTTGGGTCAAAGTTTTGTTCTTTTTCCATATGGATACCCAACTGCTCCAGTACAATTTGATGAAAACACTGCTTTCTCCCTTGGATGAACTTTGCGCCTTTGTCAAAATCAACTGCCCATATTTGCATGGGTCTGACCTTCCTGGACTTGTTAGTCTCCTTCCAGTGATTTAATGTGTCTATCCCTTCACCACTACCACACCTCTTGATTGCTGCTACTTTACAGTAAGTCTTAAACTAGGATGGTGTGATTCCTCCAACCTTATTCTTATTCAAAACTGTTTTAGATAACTCTACTTCCCTTGCCTTTCCATATAAAATTTAGCATCCATTTCTCCACTTCTACAAGAAAAATCTTACTGGAATTTGTATTCAAATTACTTTAAATCTATACATCAACTTGAGAATTGTCATTTACTATACTGAATCTTCCAATTCCTGAACATTGCATGATTTATTTAGATCTTCTTTGATTTCTTCTGTTTTGTAAATTTCCATATACATATCCTATACATAATTTGTCAGATTTTTATCTAAGCATTTTTCTTAGAGCTATTGCATAACATAAATAATTTCTGTATTTCCTTTTCCAATTACACATTGCTGGTATACAGAAAGATGTTTTATTTTTATGGGTTTATGTTGTATCCTTGCTATATTCACTTATGAGTTCCAGAAGTTTTATTATGGACTCCTTGAGATTTTCTATGTAGACAGTCATATCATCTGTGAATAGGCACAGTTTTCTTTCTGTATTTTCATAAATCTGGGCCCTGGTATATCTAACATTGACTCCTTTGGAAATAAGAACCCAGGCAGTTACAAGCCTTAGATGCCATGCCTAAATAGAGGGCTGATTCTCAAGGATCACTTATACTGGCCAAGTCAGCTTTAAACATGTTGCATCTACTAGTTCCAATCTCTTTCCTTTGCCCTTGGAATTTGTGTCATCACAGACCTAACAAGCCTTACATAGAAGTTCACCCAAGCACTGGCCAGTTTGACACTCAGGTAGTATATGCTTTTCAAGAGAAAAAA
This sequence comes from Homo sapiens, assembly GCF_000001405.40. Classification (NCBI taxonomy): domain Eukaryota; kingdom Metazoa; phylum Chordata; class Mammalia; order Primates; family Hominidae; genus Homo; species Homo sapiens. The sequence goes on along the minus strand of NC_000006.12, from coordinate 20,795,774 downwards.
TAGCAACATGAGAAATCTATTATATACTTTTTGTTTATGTTTCTTTTTAAAGAATAAACCAAATTTACTATAACCCATTCAGCATATCACCATCTTGGCAACAGCCGTTAGTAAAAATTAAGTCTATGTACTAAGAAAATGTGAAGTAAAAGAACAATTAAAATGAAGTCAATCAATGATGGCATTTCTTAGAAAAGTAAGCTTTAAGATGGTTATTTGGAATATCTGATAAAGTGAATAAATCAGCCTTTCTCAACCACTATTCCAAGAGAATTATGCACTGCAGAAAATAATCTGAGTGACTACTTTTTAATTCTCTCAAGGATAGTATGCAGCTAATATCATTCTAGATGCTTGGGAGAAGGTTAATTCACTAAATAATGAATGCCTTAGGACATTCAATCACATATGTTTAGGCTTAATTCTCTCAGAAAACATGAACTGAGAAAGGCTGGAATAGAGATTCAAGACTCAAGAAACAGCAAAAGAGACTTTAGAATGAAAACATACCATTAGCATTTAGAAACTGAGTCGTAAAAACATTTTTATTGAGAGCTTCTATGAGCTAGTAACTATTAGGTACTAGAAATACAAACATATAAACCTATAGGAATTAAAGGAAGGTAAATGGCAGAACCAGAAGTGTGGATGGGAAAGGTAAATAATGAGTGAATAGAAAAGGAAAACAAGGTGATATGAAGTCCAGAATTTTTCCAAAGGTGCTCTCACACCAAAACAGAAGTCTCAATAGTGCCTTTATCCCATGTAATCAAATTCACTTGACAGATAATCTCACTGTTTTCCTCTGATCCACCAAACAGTATTGGTCACAGTGATACCAGTTTCTGGTATTTTGACCTACATATATTTCAATACAAACTAACATCAAATATCATTTTATGATGTCTTGCAGACCACAAACAAAATCTAATCTGCTTTCTAATCCTTTCACTGACCCCTAAAATCCTAAAGATGAAGGTGTATCACCTGTGAGAGTAACCTCTGTTTGTCATGAACCTTATTCTCCTAAAAGTGAGTACAATCTGTGGGCCACCAAACTTTCGGACATTAGTCCTTGGGGCCTCAGTTTTATCATCTATGAAAAGATTTTAAATCTCTAAAATCCTTTCTAGCTCTAACAGTCTATGAATATGTGAATCTGCCAAAAAGATTTTTAATTAACTATGAATAGTTTTGTATTAAGAAAGTGTGTGGGTAGTAGGTATTTGGCCATGGGGCTACAAATAATAAAGAAACTTATTAAGTATTTTACAAAGTCTACCCCTAATTAAAAGGGTTTTTTCCCATCTCTTACAAAAAAAGTCTTCAGATCATTCTCATTAGCTGGTAAGAGATTTTAAGCAGTGTAGCACATAAACAAATAGCTTAAATCAAACTGTTGCTCACTGTGTGAACTGTCATGCTACTCTACTATCTATCCAAACACTTGGCAAGGCAGTGTTACAAAAGACAAATCCATATATTTACAGTAGATATATTTAAATTCAACTACTTCTTTCTCACCTACTATACCAAAAAAAGAGGCTTTTAATAAAACATGATTCTTACATAAAAGTCAAAAGTGTGGGCTCAAAAGAAAAAGCAGATACAGAAAATGGAAAAATAAGAGAACAAAACAATAATTTAAAGAAGGATTTTAAAAAACTACAAGATAAGGGAACAGAAAATACAGACATTAAAAGATCAGTCAATTAAAGCCGTCTAGGATCTACAGGTCTCTAAGTTTAGAAACCTTTAAGATATATATGTATAAGCAAAGCAGTATTGGGATAAACAAAAGAAACTAAGAAATTAGGCAAGCCATACTGATGCTGTTCAAATAAGCATTTGTAAAGTACATCAGAAAATATTCTATGCATGAGTCTCAGTCACAGTTAGATTTTGAATTAGGATATATTTATATATGTATATATATATTATATATAACCTAATTAGGATATATATATATATAATATATATCTGAAAGAATTAAATTTAAAATTAAAAAAAAACAATCCCTGAAATGTCTATATTATTCTTTCTTCCATCACTCATCCTTGAATATCTACCATACAAATTGAAACTTAATGGAGTATTAAAGTATGTTAGTTATATTCCAAATGTAACATTTGGATGACAAATCTCCAATAAAATTAAGAAAATTAATTATTTGATAAATTATTTGATAAACAATCATTTGATAAATAACTGACAAATAACTGCAAAATATTTAAGTGCAAGTCAACTCACTTATACAGAAGACTCTCATTATGCCAACCATCACGTTGCCATTATTAGGCATCATGGAAACAACAGGAAAATTTGCCTTCAGCAGTAGCAGAATCTCAACCATACTCCATCCTCATGGGCATTTGACATCTCTTTTTCCAAGATGCGTGCAATGTGTCAACATCAACGCCGCTACTGACACCTTGTCATTATTTTTGTTGCTTTGCCTCTTCCTTTGCATATAATTGAGAATTAAGGTAGGAAAATTTTAAAAATAAGACCAATAGTAGAAATAAGAATGAGAAAGTTGAAGTAGACAGAAAGGGGCTTTAACAATTGCAATCTTTTTTGGAAGTGAAATTAGGGGCGTTAATTTTAGGAGTAAGCACAGAAATCTACACTCAAAGGATCCCGGGTTGACTGAATTCCAGAGTGAGAACAATATGTGATGCTAGTGACAGAATTCTCAATAGTGGCAAATTACCAAAGAACGTGCTGCTGGTTCACATGACATACATGTTGTACACCATTATTGTATGAGCCTATTTTCAGCTATCACATTTGAAACAAGTCTGATACATTCCCCATATTTGTGGTAAACTTCTAGGTACACAACTCTAAGTCCTACACATATAAAACTACTATTATATTCCATGTAGACTAAAACAAAATTATTTCCCAGTTAACTAAACTACACTAGACTGTAAGGCTCCCAAGAGCAGTGATACATTACTAGGTCTTGTTTCTTTTATTGCACTTAGTACATTTTCAGATACATAGAGATGTTCTGCAAATTTCTGTTGAGTAAATGAGTGAATGAGTAGAGAATAAAACAAACCAATGAATAAAACAGACCACCAATCTTGATAGAGGATATCTTCCAGTTACAAGGGGCTCCTGGTCCTAAATAAATAAATCCATACTTGCATATCTTGTTCTCATAAACTTATATAGAAAAAAATAACAGAGACAGGAGAAAGTGGGGGAGGAGAACGGACTAAAAATTCCATTTCAGAAAGTTTATGTTTTCCGCAAGAGCAGTAACAGAACAGTACATAAAATATATTTCACAAGGGAGAAAGAACTTTGTAAACCTATATGATCTCACAATTAATACTTACTTTAAGGTTAACCTAAAAAGAACCACAAAAATATACATTACAAATCACAAAGGTACATACATTGTTTAAAAACTGAAACCAGTATTTTTAAAAATGACCTCGTTTTAAACCCAGTTTTCTTAGTGGATTTACCAAAAAATAGACACTCCTCAGAGACTGTTTCATCAGATAAAGTAAATGAGGTCTTAACTACATGCACTATTGCCTTTTTAAAAAGCCAAACAAAACATTCTGCTTTGTCAGGGTTAGAAAAAAATAAAACAACTGGTGCTACCATGCTGAGATGCAGTCAAATAAAAGCAAAGTGGTTTCAAAAATAAATATGGGATATATATTATTCTTGTATTGGAAAAAACTGACAGGCCCTCGTCCACAATCACATGTGTGTTCAATTATACTTAATTAAAGTTGGGCTACACAAGTTTCAGGGTTTTTTTTTTTCTCTCTCTTGATAGGGCTGGAAAACAAGTTTTCTTAAAGCAACAGGAAAGCTGACAGATGGTGGCTCTTTGGATACATCCAATGATCTGCTCCTACTGTGCCCTTCCAAGTGCAACTCACTTTCATGCACCTTAGCTCCAGTAGAAGTGGGAAAAAAAAAGGCAAGAAAGGAAGGCACAATGGTCATACATCTCTATATGATTTAGCAGTCCCTCCTTTAAAATAACCATAATAGGAATTTCAAATTCCATTCCATTGGACAAAATGGATGCATCTTAGGAGTCATCTGACAATACAACATAGATACACAGCAGAAATTCTCCCAGCCTACCTCCACTTGACAGACTCACTACATTAGCCCCATATTCCCCATTCTCTCTGTAAAACTCTGCTGCGTACGGCATGTTTCTCAGATTTAATAGGCTATCTTCCAGATGAGTCTCAAACTTTAGCTCTAAGTGGCTTTCCTTTCAATTAACTAAACAACTACAGTACAGACCCAGAAGCAGAAAATGAGGCTAGAGGCCACTGACGTTATGGTTTATTGAAAAAAACTGGTCAGATGATGTGGTTCGAGTCACAATTCTGCCACTTACTAGCTCTGTGGCCTTAAGCAAATAGCAGTCTACGTAAGCCTGAGGTTTGCCTTCTCATAGCTATCATAGTAATAAAGTTAATAATACTATATATTGAACAGATACTATGTGCCAGGCATTGTGCTGATTAAACCTGTGACCTCTTTTCATTCTCACAACACTATTATTATCATCATCACTTTATAAATGAGGAAACTGAAACCTATAGAGAGGTTGAATAACTTATGCCAATGATAGCAGCAGGAGGCAGACAAATGCCTAGGCAGAGGGTGTCGGGTCCCCAGTGAAACCCCACTTTCAAACCAAAGACAGTTTAAAGCCTGAAAGCCAAGCTACAAGTCAAATCCACGGACCGGATTGAGAACCTGTCTTCTCATTTGGCACACTTCCCTCTGATTGATCCCCCCTCCTCCACCAATTTTACTTTAACCTACCCTTTCCTTATTGGTTTTCTACACTGTCGTGCCTACCTTTGAATGGTGCCTTCATTTTAACCTTTTTTGTGTACTCACAAACCAATCAGCATGCACTCCCCATTCTGAGACCCTAAAAAGCCCCAGACCCAGACACACAGAGAGAGAGAAACCACCCAACTACAGGGGTGGGGGGACCACCCCCTGCATCCCCTGTCCACTGAGAGCTGTTCCATCACTCAAGAAAATTCTTCTCTGCCCATCCTCACCCTTCTAATTGTCAGTGTAAGCTCATGCTTCTTGGATGTGGGACAAGAGCTTGGGAACCACCGAATGCTATAGCACAGGTGGACCGAGTGGGCAGGGCGCCTCCAGTGGTAGGCCCAGGGCTGAGTGAGGCCTGGATCAGGGGGCATCACTGGCTGTGGAGGTCTCTGGTTGGCAAAGTGGCCACGAAAAATCCAGCGTCACCAAGTTCGGAGCCCAAGCATTCTCAAGCTACCTTTCTCCGACCATTCCCTTATTCAAAACACCACCACAGTGACTCATCATTCTCTGTGTAAGACATGGTTTTTCACAATGCAATAACCACTGCTTATGGGTTTTGTTTTGGTTCCCCCCACCCCACCAGTGCTTAAATTGCCTTTAAATCCACCTATAAGATATTTTAAGACACAGCCTAAATATTACTTTCCATGGAAGCACTCTCCAACTCATCTAAACAATCCGTCATACAATGTGAGCTTATAACTTTATTGTTTTGTGCTTGTTGCTTATAACTTTATTGTTTTGTGCTTTTCTATGGGATTCTCAAGGGCAAATACCACATGAACTCATCTTTTTATGTTCAACTACATTTGTTTAACAAATTGATGTCCCGGCTAGGTGTGGTGGCTCACACCTGTAATCCCAGAGCTTTGGGAGGCCAAGGCAGGAGGATTGCTTGAAGCCAGGAGTTCAGGACCAACCTGGGCAACATAACAAAGTGAGATCTTATCTCTACAAAAAAATTAAACAAACAAAAAAACAAATCAACATTCATTTGCAGGGCTCTTTGGTCTTCTTAAAGAACAAACATATGAAATAAATAAGCTGATTCTTAAAGATAACAAATATAATGAGCTTTCTCAACTGTAAAAGCATCTCTAAGTTGTTCTATCAATGCATATCCACTCCATGAACTAACCTGAAGAAAGTGTTGACCATTCTACCCAATTAACTGTAAACTAAGATTGCTTTAATGGTTTGCCTAAATTTGAGTACCTTTAAATTTTTGCTTTTTATCCAAATTCATTCTCCCTTCTTCAAATTAAATAGTTTTGTTAGAAATCGGATAAGCAAGATGTACTTTTTAGAAAGGGCAATAGAATCCTACAACATGCTAGAATTTGAAATGTTTTTTTAAATCAGTAATTTCTCTATGCTAGTAACTAAGAAAATTATATACATATTCATTTCAAAGTTTATTTCAAATAATGATTAAAAAGTTTACAAAATATAACATTAACTCCTAATACTGTCCAAGCTTTTTGACTGAGCTGCTCTCTTTAAAAGCATTCACTAAGCCAGCATTTGAAAGCTCTGCAACTTAAGGATAATTACTTCGCAGGTATGAGCCTATAGTGCCATCCACTGTTCCTATGAATGATCTTTCCCAAGTACAGTCTTATAATGCACTAGAAATAAATATTACTTTAAAATTTCATTTGTATAATATTTTAGTGAAAATAAGATATTTTGGGATTCCGTTGAAGACATAAAAAAGGCTGCAAATTTTAGGACAACTGGTTTGTGGACAAAAGAGTAAAAACGCAGTTCACAATTGCCATAAATGCCTCAATTTCACACATTTAATTGTTTCATATAACTTTCACTTCATTCATAGTCCAAACTATCATATTCTCTTTTCTACAAAACAATCATCTATAGTAAGAGAAGCAATTCGAACTATATTCCAGGTTAGCCAGAAAATTTTTTCTGCATTTAAGAAACACTGCTGTCAAGTGAAATACTTAACAAACATTTATGGAGTGAATACTGTGAGAAAGACACTGCGCTGAAAGCTACAGGAGAGACTAAGATGAATTTTTTTTGTTTGTCAAACATTCACTTAAAACTGAACAGGTGAAATAGGAAATTGAAGAACCAACATTGAACAGCATAAAGTCGTAACCTCACATTCTAGTCCCAGCAAATTTCTTACCTAAATAATAGAAAGAATAAAAAGAAATCAAGGGTAGAAGGGGTCTCAGAGAATGACGGTAGAGTAGAAGATACAGCAGCATCAAGATTTGAAAGAAAATATGTATTAATGTGCTAAGCTATACATTCAGTAGGTAGCACTATACCCATGCCAGAAAAGACATCATCTCTAAGATCTCACCTAATTTACTCAAGTCATGCAGCTAGAAAATAAAGTGTCTATGACTACAAACTCCAAGTGCAGAGCTCTTTCCAATGTATTATAGATTCTACTACCTTCTCCAGAATAGGCTGGTGTCACATTCTCGGCTCATGACAAAGATTAAGGTTCCTGCCACCCATAAAGCTTACAGAAGAACATGAATAATAACCACAGCTCTGTACTCACCTTACGGTGTGCAAATATAGCAGTTATAATACCTAGATTTTAAGTTTCATGAGAGCCATGTTAGGAAAACTATACATTTACTTTTGAAAGAATATAATGTAGTGAACATCATATAAATTGTGTGACTTGATGTAAGCTACAACTGTTAGGCACAGTCACACTCTTAGCTAGTATTTAATCAGAAAGGCCACCTTCCAGAGGAGATTGCTCTGTATGTTTAAGCTATCTTTTATCTTTAGTCAATACTAGAAGCTTTGCTAATTAGCATGTAAATAATAAGTTTCCATTTTTGAAAGTACTGGTCAACTACTAATTACAAGTAGTTAATAGCATAAAAGACAGTCGAAATAGGGTCTCAGTTAAAGAAGGGACACTCAAGATAAGTAGATTGGGTAAAATATTTTCCAAAACAGAATAAAGAATCTTACAACACACACTAGCCTAAATCAGTGTTTCTCAAACTATATATAGTGACAGAGCAGGATTTTTACTTCCAACCTCTTATAAACCAGTATCTGTGTAAAATACAGTGAAAATGAATTATAACTCACTGTAGTGACGTTAAACTGCCTTAAAAGTCTCTATTTGTGTACTCATCACAGACCAACAATCTATAGTTAACTGGTCCACAGAACACAGTTTGGTTAGTACTGGCCTAGACCATTAAAGATATGATTCTGGCTTGGTCCCTGACACACTCTCACTCCAGACACTAGGTAAGGAATTCTGGTTGCCTGAGGATGTATTATCTACAGTGAGACAGTATGTTGCTTCATGTGGCTCAAGTGAACCTTTCATACAAAGTTTGATTTCACCACCCAAAAAGAGAGACAACGAGGACTCCACCAACGTTACAAGAACAGCTGGACCGTGCCAGCTTGCTTACTAAATTCTGGTTGGAGACTGTGGACTAGGACTTGCTTTCATTATAATCTGACAGCTGAGTTGTCAGGTTATAATGAAATAATGAGTTTGAAATATCCATTCAAATATTTGTAGATAGCCTACGTATCCAGAAATGGAATAGGAACTGATAAATTTTGTACATTACAGACATAAAGTGTAAAAATATGAGTTAGTTTTCGCAAAGCCAGAGTGTTACAGGGGGAAAAAAATGCTTTTTAAAATGATAATAAATTCAAGAATATAAGCTCAAAGAAAATTATATTCCCCTTAAAGGTTCTCAGTTACCACCATATGTCTGTCTGATGGCAAATAACAAGAAAGACAAGATAAATTTTAAAAGATAAAGTATCAGTAAAATATCACAGGGTCAGACAGTAATTTCTAAGATGTGTTTTGCCTGAGGGAGGATTTCAAACCTTCAAGCTAAGGATAATCTGATAGGAGTATCTTAAAAATGATATAATTTATATAAGAACTGTTAAGCAGCATCTAACTCTTGGCTTTGGAAGATAAAAATTGCCAAAGAACTGTCAAAAAGGATGACTTTCATAGGGTCAGAGAAGGTAAAATAAAGCACAGATGTCCTTTATGCCACAATTTCCAATTTTTTACTTTTGTCCCCTACACTACCTCCTACCCGTCTCCACACCGTATTCCCACTGCTAGAAAAAATAAGGGAGTCAAGGCCGGGAGCGGTGGCTCACCTGTAATTCCAGCACACTGGGAGGCCGAGGCAGGCAGATCATGAGGTCAGGAGATCGAGACCATCCTGGTTAATACGGTGAAACCTCGTCTCCACTAAAAATACAAAAAATTAGCCAGGCATGGTGGCGGGCGCCTGAAGTCCCAGCTACTCAGGAGGCTGAGGCAGGAGAATCGCTTGAACCCGGGAGGCGGAGCTTGCAGTGAGCTGAGATTGTGCCACTGCACTCCAGCCTGGGTGACAGAGCGAGACTCCATCTCAAAAAAAAAAAAAAAAAAAAAGATAAGAAAAAATAAGGGAGTCACACAAATGGGAGACCTGACGAAAACAGCTTATCAACCTTAGCTTATTTCTTCCATTCATGCACATGTTGACTCCCTATGATACTGACCATAACATTTGGTTGACTTTTTAAAAAATTCTACATAAATATCCACACACACCGTATCCTGCTGTGCCCATCCAAAATTTATACAATCTGAAATTTTCAACTTCTTCCTTGGCTAAAGCAACTGATGTACTTTTATGTTTTGTTTTATTTTATTTATTTAGAGATGAAATCTCACTCTGTCACCCAGGCTGGAGTGCAGTGGTGTGATCTCAGCTCACTGCAACATCCACTCCCTGGGTTCAAGCAATTCTCCTGCCTCAGCCTCCCGAGTAGCTGGGATTACAGGCACGCACCAACCACCACATCCAGCTAATTTTTGTATTTTTAGTAGAGGCAGGGTTTCAGCATGTTGGCCAGGCTGGTTTCAAACTACTGACCTCAGGTGATCCACCTGCCTTGGCCTCCCAAAGTGCTGGGATTACAGGCATGATCCACTGCACCTAGCCATACTTTTATATTTTAAGCTAGAAATATAACAAGGCATAACAACTTTGCAAAGTCTAATGGTTCTAATAGTAACTTCAGTAATTTACTAATACATACAATAAAAGTTGCTACAAATGGGACCCTTTTCCTAAACGAAAAATGAAAAATTTATGGAAAGTGAAATCTACATATTTAATGTGGAAGCAATAAAATTTTGAAAAGTGTGAGGATTTTACTGAGAAGGCTCATTTTCTACTGAAAAATAATTATGAGTATAATCATATTAAAACATTTAAAAGTAAGTGAAAAAAAGCAATGAGCTCCACCAGCATGAAAAAAATGAAATCTGGCTGGGCATAGTGGCTCACACCTGTAATCCCAGCAATTTGGGAGGCTGAGGTGGGTGGATCACAAAGTCAGGAGTTCGAGACCAGCCTGGCCAATATAGTGAAACCCCATCTCTACTAAAACAAAAATTAGCCGGGTGTGGTGGCGTGTGCCTGAAGTCCCAGCTACTCAGGAGGCTGAGGCAGAAGAATCAATTGAACCCAGGAGGCGGAGGTTGCAGTGAGCCAAGATCGTGCCACTGCACTCCAGCCTGGGCGACAGAGCAAGACTCCATCTCAAAAAAAAAAAAAAAAAAAGAAAAAGAAATCCAAGCTAATATGTTATAGAATGATAGTGTGGACAAATACGTATGGGAATGCTTTCATGTGAGAGCAAGTGATAAGGCTGCAACTGATTCAGGAAGATGATTAGCAGTCTGAGAAAATTAGAAACCCATTTCTCATTCTGGGACAATATGGATTAAATTTTCTTAATATCAAAAGCATTATTTGCTAATGTACCGAGGATCAACACTCTACTCTAATGTGAAGGATACAAGAGGATGAGAGTGATGCCAAATCCAGTGAGCTTTCAATCTTTTAAAGAGCAGGCCCATTTGAAGAAAACATTAAGTCTACAAGAGGGAAAATTCAAATAATATACATAAAAAATTTTACCTAAAGGCTATTGAAAATGGTTACCTAAAGCAAATTTTTAAAATTTAAAATTGTAAACATTAAAAAAATTTTAAATATTTTTAAGATTAATTTTTAATTAATGTACAGCAACAAGAACTCATAACTTATAAAACATTTACTCAACAAATATTTATTGAGTGCAGGCAGCCCTCTGTATCCATGTGTGTGCCATATCTACAGATTGAACCAATCATGGATTGAAAATATCTGGGGCCAGGTGCAGTGGCTCATGCCTATAATCCCAGCACTTTGGGAGACCGAGGTGCGTGGATCACAAGGTCAGGAGTTCGAGACCAGCCTGGCCAATATGGTGAAACCCCGTCTTTACTAAAAATACAAAAGCTAGCTGGGTGTGGTGGCACACGCCTATAGTCCCAGCTACTCGGGAGGCTGAGGCAGAAGAATCACTTGAACCCAGGAGGGCGGAGGTTGCAGTGAGCCGAGATGGTGCCACTGCACTCCAGCCTGGGTGACAGAGTGAGACTCTGTCTCAAAAAAAAAAAAAAAAAAAAAAAAAAAAAGAAATAAAATATCTGGAAGAAAAAAAACACTTAAAAATAATGCAATAATTAAAAGAAGCCAAATTTTTAAAATACAGTATAACAACTATTTAGGCAGCATTTCTATTGTATCAGGTATTATTAGTAATCTAGAGATGATTTAAAGTATATGGGAAAAAGTAAGTGGGTTATATGCAAATACTACACTTTTTTTTTTTTTTTAAGACGGAGTCTAGCTCTATCTCCAGGCTGGAGTTTAGTGGCACGATCTCAGCTCACTGCAACCTCTGCCACCCAGGTTCAAGTGATTCCCCTGCCTCAGCTTCCCGAGTAGCTAGGATTACAGGCACGCGCCGCCACGCCCAGCTAATTTTTGTATTTTTAGTAGAGTCGGGGTTTCACCTTGTTGGCCAGGATGGTCTCAATCTCCTGCCCTCATGATCCATCCACCTTGGCCTCCCAAAGTGCTGGGATTACAGGCATGAGCCACCACGCCCGGCCAATACTACACCATTTTATATGAGGTACTTGAGTATGCATAGATGTTGTATCTGAGGAGGTCCTGGAACTAATCCCCTACAGATACCGAGGGACAATTGTACTCACTTTGTACTAAACACTGAACTCAAAGATAATAATGTAATGACAACTGAAACACATTCAGCCCCCAAGGAGCTTACATTGTAGTGGAAGATACAAATGACATAGTGTGTAAAGTGCCATAATCAGGATACATAGGGAATGTTGTGGACACAAATTAGAGTGAGGGATAGATTTAGCCTGGTTGGGAGGGAGAAACAAGCAGACATCCCAAGAAATGAGCACATAGTTGAGTGCAGGAGGCTCACCCATGAGGTGAACGGGGAAGGACAGACATGCCAGGAAAACCCTTCAACCTACAGGGAGGCCTGCAGTCAAGACAGAGAAGAATCTGGAGTTTTGAGAATTTCAAGTAGTTCAGGAAGACTGAATACTGGGGTGTGAAGTAGGGAGTGACAAAATGAAGAAGAACATAGGGACTAGAAAAATAAACAGTTAAAAACAGACACTCAGTAGGCCAAATACGTACCTGGAAAGTTACCATGCAGAGACCTAATGGATCCTAATCTAACAGAGTTTGACAGACCCTGAAATACTAATGTTTTAAAGGCATGTGTCTAGCCAAAAGCCCCGCATAAACACACACACAAAACCGGCATTTTTCAGCTGGGTGCAGTGGCTCATGCCTGTAATCCCAACATTTTTGAAGGCCAAGGCAAGTGGATTGCCTGAGTTCAGGAGTTTGAGACTAGCAGGGGCAACACAGTGAAACTCCATCTCTACTAAATTAGAAAAAATTAACCGGGCATGGTGGCGTGCACCTGTAATCCCAGTTACTCGGGAGGCTGAGACAGGAGAATCACTTGAACCCGGAGGCAGAGGTTGCAGTGAGCCAAGATCACGCCATTGCACTCCAGCCTAGGTGACAGAGGGAGACTCCATCTCAAAAAAAAGAAAAAAAAATCTGCATTTTTCAGGAGAAAGTGTGATTAGCCAGCAAACTCCAAATATTATTGTCCAATTTGCAAGGCAATCTGTACCATGATGATAATTTAGCATAGTCCCACTAAACTGTCAAATTTTAAAACTTATTCATTCATTCAGTCAATAAATAAATATGCATTAAATCCCTACTGTGTATAATTTTCTACTCACTGGGGATAGAGTGGTAAATAACACAATCAAAAAGGCCCTGCCCCCATGGAGCATATATGCCAGTGAGGAGAGACCATTAAAATACAAATAAATGATCATTTATATATTTCAATGCCAATTAAAGTTACAGAGGAAAACAAGGCAACTGAGAAAAAGAGAAGGAATGTTAGAAAGTTTGCAATTTTAAATAGGATAATCAGGAGTTGCGGGAAAGTATTATAATGTTTGAATGAAGGGGAAAAAAGAACTGAGGAAGGGGAAAGCAAACAGCCTTGCATTTATAATTCGGCTCAGGCTAGACAGACAGAATGAATATGTGAGGTACTCCAGTCAAGCGACAACTGTACTTCTCACTGTTAAATTCTGCTTTAATTACTAGTTTCTGAGCTTGATAAGTTTGGGTTTCTGAATCTTCAACGCTGAAGGCCAGATGCTGGTCTACAACAAATTCACCAAGTCACTGAATGCCACTCCATGGGGTTTTTTGGGAAAAACCGAATGACTTTGGTCAACCTTCTCTAGTCTTTGACAGCAGTGTGGAGGATAAACCAGAAAGTGGTGAGACTACAGAAAAGAGGGCTACTGACAACACAACCGCCACTGTCCTGGAGGAAGTAAAGCCATTGGATTCAGAGAAACAGGCAGATGGTGGACAAGGAAGCTGTTCACCGGTTCTCAATGAGAAGGAGCATGAAGAAAGAGCAGAACAGAAGGAAAACAATTTCAAATAAAAGGGAAGGAGGATGAAGTAAAAGGGGCAGAACAGCTTAAATCTGTGGGGAATGAGATGTGGTTGTACGGGTAATTAGGTGCTCCCTGTGATTTAAGAAACAGAAGCCCTTCATCTCATCAAATTTTCAGAAAATGTTTCTTTTTCTGATGGACTCATAATTTAAAGAATGCAAAAATTCAATAAATGCATATGAAACAAAGTATAAATGAGTATACCAAGAGTTATAATCAAGGACTTTAAATCAAGGTGTGGAAATTAAAAGAGTACTTAATATTCTGTCATGATGCTTCTTTTAAGTTTAAAGCTCAGAATAATAACATTTTAAAATATGCATTTCAAATAGTGAATAATCAAAACGTGGTTAGTATCTTGGGCAACATTTACCATACCTTTACTGAAAAAAACAGTCGAATATGACAAGTGTCTTAATCATTCAACAAAATAAAGTGCTACTTTTTTCAAAGATTTTAAGTAAGGGCATAGCTGGGAAATGAAATCCATGTTTATTATGTTTATTACCAAAAATGGGAATAATATTAAAGTTATAAAAGCCTGCTGCAAATATAAGTGTAGTTTACATACAGGAAACATTTCAGAAGAAACTGTATTTGAGCACATTTTGTAATTTTTCTTTCCCAAGAAAATGTTCAGCTACTTTTCTATGTCACATGTCCAAGAAAAAAAAACTGAATTCATGAAATATATTGAATATTTTATGAGCAAGTTTGAGAGATGCTTACCCGGTATTGATGGAAATGATTTCTATCAGTGGATTCTTCCTAATCTTCGGCAAATCCAATCGTGCTCCCCCAAGCCGCCTTCCATTATCCTTTTTCTGACCCAGCAGTCTCACAGAGTGACCTTCAAATCAAGCACATAAATATACATTAGCAAGAGTTACACACTTCACTGTAACTTAACGCTTTCAACAAATGTGTTCATTTAACTTCTTTTCGGGAGCAGGGGAAACAACATAGAAGAGTGAAGTGTGATCATTTAAACTTCAGAAATACTGTCAAAAGGAAAAACAGTGGCCAGGTGCAGTGGCTCACACCTGTAATCCCAGCACTTTGGGAGGCCAAGGTGGGTGGATCACCTGAGGTCAGGAGTTTGAGACCAGCCTGATCAACATGGTGAAACTCCATCTCTATTAAAAGTACAAAAATAAGCCGGGTGTGGTGGCGGGCGCCTGTAATCCCAGCTACTCAGGAGGCTGAGGCAGGAGAATAGCTCGAGCCCGGGAGGCGGAGTTTGCAGTGAGCCCAGATGGCACCACTGCACTCCAGCCTAGGTGACAGAGTGAGACTCCATCTCAAAAAAAAAAAAAAAAAAAAAGAAAAAGAAATGAAAAAAAACAAGAAAAACAGCTGTATTCAGGGCCTACTTGCTTTGCTTATATTTGCACAGATGAGAAACAGAATACCCTCAAAATATCATTTCTACAGGTATAAATACTCTCTAGCATATGCCAAATATGCATGTGCAGCAGGAAGGGTTTGCTTGGGCACTAGGCCTGCCTGCCATTACATTGCAGAAAAAATGAGTAATTAAAAAAAAGCAAAACCAAGTATCTGCTCAAAGCAAACAACAAATCAAACAAGTAAATAAACAAAAAGCTGAGATAAAATTATACTTTAGGGCTGGATTTTTTTTAAACAAACAAACATTTTAAACTTATTTTTACACACTATCACAAAAGGAAATCAGATCACTATTAAGAGCCATTAAAACATTTGTAATTTTTTAATTTTGATATAATTTCACACTTGTAGAAAAAGTGGAAGAATACAATACAAAAAAATCCCATACCCTTCAGATTCAATTATTATTTTACCATATTTACTTTGTCATTTTTTCTTTCTATATGGACATATTGCATTTTGTCTTTTTTTTTTTTTTTTTTTTTAAGGTTAGGTTTTTTAAGAGACAGGGTCTCACTATATTGCCTAGGCTGATTTCAAACTCCTGGGCTCAAGCAGTCCTCCTGTCTCAGCCTCCCAAAGTGCTGGGATTACAGGCATGAGCCACCGCACACAGCCTAGACCTATTGTTTTTATAACTTTACTGAGGTATATCCCATAGCCTATAAAATTCACACACTATGAGAGTAAGAGTCAATGATTTTAAATACATTTATAAAGTTTTGGCCAGGCATGGTTGCTCACACCTGTAATCCCAGCACTTTGGGAGGCCAAGGCAGGCAGACCAGCCCAACCAGCATGGTGAAACCTCATCTCTACTAAAAATACAAAAATTAGCTGGGTGTGGTGGTGTGCACCTGTAAACCCAACTACTCGAGAGAGTGAGACAAGAGAATCACTTGAACCTGGGCAGCAGAGGTTGCAGTGAGCCAAGATCACGCCACTGCGCTACAACCTGGGTGACACAGCGAGACTCCGTCTCAAAGAAAAAAAGTTTTATAATCATCACAATAACTCAATTTTAGAACACAGGATGTCAATGTTCTAAAACTGAATGAAACAACTGAATGGAACATCACCCCAAAATAAGAATTTGGGGGGTGATGTAAGTGTTCTAAAATTGAGCTTATCAGAGTCTATCTCTATTCACATACCAAATATAGGGAATTTTGTCAATCCATTGACCAGCTGATTGACATTTGAATTGCTTCCAATTAACAGCTACCATAAAAATGCTTCTGTGAACATTCACATACAAGTTTTTGTATGGACATATGTTTTATTTCCCTTGGATATATTCCTAGGAGTAGAACTGGTGGATCATGTGGTAAATTTATGTTTAACATTTTAAGAAACAACTGCTTACGAAAGCAGTCATACCATTTAATGTTCCCATCAGCAATGTATGAGGTTTTGAGTTTCTTCATATCCTTGCCAATACTTAGTACTACGGCTTCTTATGATAACAGCCATTCTAATGGGTGTGTAGTGGTATATGACTGTGGTTTGAATACTCATTTCCATAGTGAGGAATGATGTTGAGTACCTTCTCATGTGATTATCAGCCAAATGTATTTCTTATTCAGTAGAATGTTATGACGATTAATTTTATATGTCAACTTGACTGCGCCACAAGGTACACGGATATTTTGATATTATTCTGAACGTCTCTGTGAGGGTGTTTCTAGATGAGATAACATTTGAATTGGTACACTGGGTGAAGCAAATTGTTTTCCCAGTATGGATGAGCCTCGTCCAATTAAATAAAAGTCTCAATTTAAAAAAAAAGGCTAAAAGTGAGCTCCTCCTGACTGTCTGTACGAGCCAGAACATAGGTCCATTTCGGCTTTCAGATTCACACTGAAATATTGGCTCTTCTTGGGTCTCAAGTGTGCCAGCCTGTGGACTGTAACTTAACACCATTGGCTCTCCTGTTTCTTAGGCCTTTGAACTCAGACTGGAACTACATACACATCAGCTCTCTGAGGTTTCCAGCTTGCTGAACGCAGATCTTGGGACTTCTCAGCCTCCATGGTTGCATGTGCCAATTCCTTACACTACGTCTCTTTCCATACATACACCCATTGGTCCCAACTAATATAAATGTCTACTCCAGTATTTTCCCAGTATTTTAATTAGAGTATTTGTCTTACTGAGTTGTAAGAATTATTTACATATTATGGTTATAAGACCTTTATCAGATATATGATTTATAAATATTTTCTCTCAGTCTGTGGCTTATATTTTCACTTTCACAATGGTGTGCCTTGAAAAGTAAATGTTTTTTCAATTTAATGAAGTTCAATTTATCCAGTTTTTTCTTTTATGGCTCATGCTTTTGGTGTCACATCTAAGAACTCTTTAGCTATATTAAGGGCACAGAGATTTCTCCTGTGTTTTCTTCCACATGTTTTATTGTTTCTGTTCTTATATTTATGTCTAGAATTCACTTTATTTTTATGTACAGTGAAGGCCTAAGCTCTTTTTTTAATATGAATATTCAACTGTCCTGATGCTATTTATTTTCCTTCTTCCTCTTTTGTGCTATTGGCACACATATTAACATATACAGTTATATACAGTAGCACCACTTATCTGTGGTTTTGCTTTCCACAGATTCAGTTACCCACAGTACAGTATAATAAGGTATTTTGTGACAGGGAGAGACACTCCACATTCACATAACTTTTATTACAGTGTATTGTAATAATTATTCTATTTTCTCACTAATGTTGTCAATCTCTTACTGTGCCTAGTTTATGAATGAAAACTTATCATAGGTATGGATGTATGTATGGGAAAAAACATGGTACATACAGGGTTTGGTACTCTCCATAGTTGCAGGCATCCACTGGGGATCTTGGAATGTATCTCTCATGGTTAAGGGGAGACTCATGTAAAGCTAAAAATATGGTGCTATAATTATTGTTTTTTACGTAATTGTATGTTTTTTTCCGTTTTGTTTTCTATGAGACAGGGTCTCACTCTGTCGCCCAGGCCGGAGTGCAGTGGCACAATCACGGCTCACTGCAGCCTCGACTTCCTGGGCTCAAGCAATCCTTCCATCTCAGCCTCCTGAGGAGCTGAGACTATAGGTGTGCGCCACCACGTCCAGTTACTTTTTAAATTTTTTTTATAGAGATGAGGTCTTGCCATGTTGCCCAAGCTGGTCTCAAACTCCTGGGATTAGGTGATACTCCCACCTTGGCCTCCCAAAATACTAGAATTAAAAGTATGAGTCACTGCACCTGGCCTATGTTGTTTTTTAATAATGAAAATGTGAAAAATATGTTTACTCATATAAATACCATTTCTAGCATTTTTCACTGCTCCTTGGAATCCAAGTTATCATTCAGTGCCTCTTCTTTTCTGCCTGACAAACTTTCAGTATTTCTTACAAAGCCCATTCCAGTTTCTGCTGCATGTGCAGAAGAAACAACTTCTGGTTAACTGAAGGTATGTGGAGAGTTTCACAAGCCTCATAGCGCTAGCTCAGCTCCCAGAATTCCCTGCTAAAACCCTGGCTAGTCCGTCTGTCCATTGCTTGCACCAAACATGTCAGTAACTTCAGTCCAGTAGAGCCGCAGACCTTCCCTACTGCTTGCCATCAAAATCTCCACTGAACCTGACAGTTCTCCAAATCCACTGAGCTGTCTTGGGAGCAGCAAAGAAGCTGCTGGCTTTCATGGCCTGTTTTGCCCTAGTTGCAACCTTACTCACCGAATAGAGGAGGGAAAATGGAGCAGCCCCAGCATTAATACCACAGACTTACACTGTTTTTATCCAAAGTTCAGTTTTTTCATGAATAAACACTTTTCAGTTTGTTGAATGCTTTTAGTTGATTTCCAGAGTACTGACATGATTTGCTTTTGACTGCTTGTGCAGCTTTAGCATTGCTTTTGAGAAGGTTTGTTGACCTCCTCATGCCATCACGACAGAAGCATATTAAATGCAACTTTTAAAAAGCAATCATTAAAATAACTTCAAATACATAATTCGTACAGCTCTAAGATTCTAAGTAGTTATATACATGTTTCATCGCCTGTCATTTCAGAAAGCTTTATTGCTTAAATATCTCCGGTACAACTTTTCACAACCAAAAGTAATAACACCATCAGTCATAGCCTCTTTGCACTACTCACTTTAATAAGAAACATTTAGTACTTTATTCGTTCTGAAAATGTATGCTCTGATATGGAAACATGCTAAAGTCAAGCAAGCATTTGGCATGTTGGATTCCACAGATTTTCAAGATAAGTTAAACTCTCCAATCAAAAGCCCAGTTAATGAAGAGGTGAGCAAGACTGGCATGCTAACATAATAGTTCTTCAAGAGATGCCAAGAATTCAATAATGACTATGCAAAGGCATGCTATTTTCATACTTGCATGAGACAAATTTCATTATATCCTGCTGCGACTCCAGTAATATGCAGCCTGCACTAATAACATTTGATAAATTATTCACCTTCACTATCTACATGCAAATAAAGGAAAGTATCTCTGCCTGATGGTATAATGAGTTATTTTCCAATCCAATGATTCATTAAAGAGCAGCAGACCTAACAATAGTCTGTTTTTTTTTTTAATTGAAAACTATTGCACACTAAAGACAAAGTAGGAAATAACGTAACAGTCACTTGTTATATCTGGCCAAAGATGAAAGGAGGGAATTTCAACAATAAAACAATTATTTGTTTAAAAATGGAGTAGCAGAACAAAACTTTTATTTGTTATATACCCTTTCATTTAGAAATCCTCTTTCAAGCAAAACTGCTGTTTCAAATTAATTCCTTAAATCCATAAACCATATAGTAAATATAAATACTATTTACTACCTATTTTATGTGCAGTTATCAATACTGCTGCCATCTAAAACAAACTAAAACTTACCAGAATAAATAATAAAACTGAAAGAGATGTCTTAAAGGAAGCAAGTCTTTGGAAAGAAAAGGAGAGAGGACAAGGACTCAGGACCAGAGAAACATGCTGAAGGAGTTGAGATGTGAAAGGTAAAAGGCAAATTTTTGGAGCAAATTTGTCCTGAAAATGAACATGCTATACTTATGAAAGGACCATGAGACAAAGACCATAATTGCACATTCACACATTCCTTCTTTATTTGATCCTTTCTCGTTAGCCACTGAGGCCTAGCACTGTGATGGAAAAAGAATGGCTGCTCACTGAGCACTGGTTTGTTTTGTGACTACTGTGAATCAGCCTTTTGGCTTGAGTGAAGGGAAAGAGAAAAGAAAGAAAGCAAAACAATATAGAAAAGAAAAAGGGAGTGAGTTTTTATATCATTTCAATCCCATGTAATAAGAAATTAAAGGAGGAAATATTAATAGGAACAGATGGGGAGATGATGCTCAGTGTGACAAGATCAACTGATAATGACATGAGGCCACCGAGGAGATGGTGATAAATATGTAAAGTGACTAAAATAGATATGCAACTTTAATAAAAAGATGAGAAAGGAAGACTGGCATATATGTAGAATGAGACATACTCAAAAATGTTATATTTCTGAGATCTTTTATCTTTTCCATTTTTAATGTAAATTCACATTTCACCTCCTCTAAATAATGGTCAAATATGTCTCAGTGGGTTTATTAACCCGCTTTAATAAACATCTCTCTGAGTTGTTACGTACAAGTGTCAGATACAATTCAACCCTGTTAAAACCAAATTCAATTTTAAGCCCTGAGGTTTTCAGCAGTTATTTATAAATCAGCTACAAAACCTGATTCCATGCTGGTTTTTACATTTGATCTAATCCATTAAAGAATGTTACTAAACGATTTTACCAACTAAAATTATTATACATTGTAAAAATTTGAACCAGAAAGCTAGCTTTTGATACAATTCACTGCTGTGTGCACATTTCTGAATTCATAATACTGAAATGCTTATGAGAAGAGAAACCAAGGCACTGTATATTATTTGTACAGTAATTGCTACACTAGTTGAATCAATGTTCAATGCTGTCTATCGATCTTCAGGAACAAAAATGTTTTCTAAATCTCATGGTGCTACTTGCATTGGATGGTGTTAGAACCGAGGGAAAACATCCCACCCATGTATACTAGAAAGCCTGGCCTGTCAGCATATCAGGAAGCCAATCATAAAGGTCACTCACAAATAGAAAAGAACCACCTCCCCGAACATAAAGACATATATTAATTGAGTGATAGAAACATAACTAGCTACAAAATATATCTATTAACTAAATTACGCTCCTACACACAAACCAATCTTCTCTGTTTGGTTCTCACGTTCTAAAGTGGGTTGCACATACGAGCTTTAGAGTATCATTCATATTACAGAAATACCAATGATCTGGCAACTTGGACTCCTATTGTTTATTTTTTCCCTTTACTTTTTTCTAAAGGCTCTATAAACAGCCCAACTTTTCTTCAATACTTCATTCACTCCATCTAATTTTAAAGGCCATTCACTGTTTTCTTAATATGTGACCATCCACCTCCACTACCACCAGAGAGGACTCATGCCAAGGCTTGTTGGTTTTATTTTTTATCTCTTGATGACTGGTCTCACCTTGCACAAATTTGGTTTTATTAAGTACACACTGAAAAGACTTGTCTGAACCCTAGCTCTGGGTCAGCCTGCTGGAAATATTCCTAGTGAAGCAATCCAACACGATGATGGGGGCAGAGGGCAGAGGGCAGAAGGGTGGCAGAAAATTCAAGCAAAAAAAGTTTTTTAAAAAATGAATAAATGGGCCAGGTGCAGCAGCTCAAGCCTGTAATCCCAGCACTTTGGGAGGCCGAGGCGGGCAGATCATGAGGTCAGAAGATCAAGACCATCCTGGCTAACACGGTGAAACCCCATCTCTACTAAAAATAAAAAAATTAGCTGGGCGTGGTGGCAGGCACCTGTAGTCCCAGCTACTCGGGAGGCTGAGGCAGGAGAATGGCGTGAACCCAGAAGGTGGAGCTTGCAGTGAGCCGAGATCGCGCCACTGCACTCCAGCCTGGGCTACAGAGCGAGACTCCACCTCAAAAAAAAATAAAAATAAAAAATAAATAAGTAAATAAATGTACCGTACATATCAATTCTCACTTAAATTTGATCACATCAATTTGAATTTTATTTAAGAATATTATACAAAAGTGCCCAATTTAATCTGTTTTTCTACAAAATGTCCATAGTTACCACTTTAAGTGTCCTTAACAGGCATTTTAACTACTCAATTACAAAGAACAACAAAAGTGTAGTCAAAGTTTGTCTCTACTCCATTCAATATCATTCCTCATATACAGGTACTTCTTAGAAGAAAAAAAGGTAGGTATTCACACTAAAGTGTGACACTCCTTTGAAATATTTCATCTTAAAAGAAGAAAAGAATATAAAACACAGAAACTGGGTTAAATGGAAGAAGCAGCTTTGTCACAAGTCTAGATTGGAAAACTTTACACAAAATGGTAGAATTAACTAAAAAACACAGAATCTTTACAACTCAAGCTCTAATTGTTTGTTACTGACATTAAATAATTTCCTTTTTCAGCAAGTATGAAGAGTTTGTTAATGACAGCAATGACACCTAGAAAAAGATATTAAAATGAGAAAAGAATAAGAAGAGACTGTCCAAAAAGACAGAACTCAAAGTATAAATCAGAGTATAAGTAGAGAGCCCACTAAGGTACTGATGTTACCAAGGTGCATTTCCAGAGTTTAACAAAGCATGAAGGTTCCAACACCTTACCTGGTGGACTGGGGAGGAGGCGAAGGTAAGATCACAGTACACAGTTTAAATCCCTAGAAATCTGAGAATTGTTTAATATCAAAACTCCTGCTGTACAAAAAAGTACCTACTCTATAATCTTAATAATGTAAAATTTATGTGTGGACAAGAATTATGGAAGAGAACATGGAAAGATGAAAACATTCATTGGAATGGAATGTTCTTAGGCAATTTTTTTCTTCCATTTGGACATTATCAATGGTATAACTAATAATTAAGTTACATTAAACAAAGGATACATATAACAAAGTAATCTGCATAAGCAAAATGTCCTTTTAGTCTAATGGAGATACCTTCTGGGGCAAATTACAGTAAGTATTTAATTTTATGTTTTAATTACTATATCTTTTGCAAGCAGATATGTCTTTTATGACAGTGGGAGTAGACTTATGTGGTGTCAATTTATCTTTTCAGAATCCAAATCAAATGTACATCAGAACAGTTAAAAGTCAAAGCAGTCCCATGTCAATAACTCAACATTAGTATTGACCCTTAGTAGAACTCTTCAGGTCATTAGCTGTCTTGCTACAACAGACTCTCCTGAATTCTAAATTTATCAAATGGCTCCAAGCCCTTGATATTTACAGCAATAAAGCTATGAGCACTTCTGTTTCTGTATGTAAAGCAACCACAGCAACAATACAGAACATAACGATTTCTCATGCTCAAACCTGTATTCCCAAAGATACTGTAGCCAGTGTTGAAAGCAAAGCAGACCTTACAAAAGACAGCACTCAAGCTGCTGGAAAATGAGAACAATAAAATGTACAAGACATAAGGAACTTGTAAGCCACAGTTAACTTTTAAAATTGAAGCTCAGAGTCCCACTGAATATAGGCCATTTTATGCACTGCTATAAAGGAATACCTGAGGCTGCGTAATTTATAAAGAAAAGAGGTTTAATTGGCTCACGGTTCTGCAGGCTGTACGGGAAGTATGGTAACAGCATCTGCTCAGCTTCTAGTAAGGCCTCAGGAAGCCTCCAGTCACGGCAGAAGGCAAAGGGGGTGCCCACCTGTCACACGGGGAGAGTAGGAACAAGAAAAGACACGAAGGGGACAGATAACACACACTTTTAAACAACCAACTCACATGAGAATTCCCTATGGGCCAGTACAGCACCAAGCCATTCATGAGGGAACCGCCCCCATGACCCAAATACCTCCCACCAGGCCCCACTTCCAACAGCGAGGATCACATTTCAAAATGAGATTTAGAAGAGACAAACATCCAAACTATGTTGCACTCACTTTCAATCACAAATGAACATGTCAAGTCTCCTCGCGCTAATTCAACTCAAGCCACCATAAAGTGTGACAGAAGAGATGGGAAGCAGTAAAGGCTGGGGAATTTTCCCATCTATGTATCTTAAAAAATGCCTCTCTGACCTTGCTGACCTTCATTTCACTTCCAATCAAGAACTGAATAATCTTGTACTGTAGGCAGCATAAATACATCTAAATGAGAGGAGGCCCCTGGAGCTCACTTTGCTTCAAATTCACTCTCTTAGTCCTCAACCCGTTGAGATAAGTGTTATCACTGCCTTTCTATAGAAATGGCAAGAGTGAAATAAGTTTAAAAATGTAGTTAAAACAAAGAGGATGTACATTTTATATTGTAAGTCACTGTATTAATGTACATGCATAACTGAAACAAAAGTTCCATAATACCATAGATGAGCTTAGAAAATGAAGCATGTATGAAAGATTACTTTTTAATATTTAAAACCTTCTCTATCTTGAGCCACTACTTTGACTTCTGCCTTAAAGGGACTTAAGGTCTCGAGGAAGGCAGACTGTTGAACAAATAAGTGGAAGGATGTGTCAGAGATGATCTGGCAGATGTTTCTAAGTACAGAGAGACACCACAAGGGAGTGGTCAACTCTCCCAGGGAAAATCAGGAAAGGCTTCAGGGAGAGGTGACACTGAAGTCTGGGAGGCAGAGCAAGCAGGATACAAATTATATACATGATTATATCTATTTCACAGTACCTTTTCCTAGATTTCCTGCTTTTGACTGATTTTCCACTTCTTAAAACCAAGCTAGTTAAAAGCCTATCACTTTAACTGGATTTCACTTAAAAGATTTATTAAGACTTGGCAGGAAGGGGCCCCATGGTGAAAGACCACGCCTTCAAAAATGAAAATGCTCCTAAAAATAATGTATGAAGTAGAAATTATGTGGGCTTGAGATTCTTAGTTCTAGTCAAAAGACTAATCAAACATCGTCTTAAAATTTAATTTTTAAAAATGACAGTGTTGGGCATGGTCTGTTAAAGATTGAAAGTTATGAATATTAAAATACTTCTGGTTACAGCTGCAAAACTCATGTGGCCTAAATACATAACTAGGATTGAGAATACAAGATTTAAGACATATCCTTAAAAAACATCGCAGGATTTTTTTGACCTAACCATTTGACAGTAAAAACTCTATATACAAAGTGTGTTTTACATTAAAACTTTCAACACTTATTCTTACAACACATACACAAGAATTTTCTCTATAGAATCTTTCATTTGCTTTTTTTTTGGCTGGCTTTTTTAACAGTTGCTTATAGTTAGGGAATACGTTCACTCACTCATTTCCCAATTTAAGCACCTTTATAGCATGGTATGACTCAAACAGTATACTCAGAATTTTCTATAAAAAATTAAGCGTATCTTTATTAACTCCTTACAAAAGAATGTTTTATGTTGGCACAAAATAAAACAGCAAATAAAAGAGAAAAAAAAGTTTAAAAAGATTAAAGAGGAAACAAGACACATGAAGGAACAAAATATATAAGAGAAGATCTAAAGGGAACATGGAAAAAAAGTGAGCAGTGATCTTAAACAACAGGTATCAGAAAAGAAAATAATAAATGGGCCTCACTTTCTCATTTCCGTCTGTTCAATATTAACAGCTTCACAGAATAGAAAGGAGGGTATGTGGAACAAGGGGACTAGGTTTCAAATTATAGTACACTGCTGCTTGGCTGCATAATCAGTAATGCCAGGCTTCCTGTGGAGTAGAAATGAATTAATGTATATGAAAATGGTAAGCCACAAAGAGCTAGACAGAAGTTAATTACAGTTACTACCATAATTAAACAACTGTACTCCTATCAAAACATACAGCGCTAATGACGTTTCTCAAAAGCAAGATGGCAAGGGACTTTTTAAAACTTTCAAACACTAGAAGTTAAAGTCAGATTCCATTTCTTTTAAAAGCTCTGGAGGGCTAGGAAGTACGTCACAAATAATTGCATTGATAATGATGATCAAGGCCGGTGTGGTGGCTCACACCTGTAATCCTAGCACTTTGGGACAAGGCGGGGGAGATCACATGAGGCAAGGAGTTCGAGACCAGCCTAGCCAACATGGTGAAACTCCTTCTCTACTAAAAATACAAAAATAAGCCAAGCATAGTGGTGCATGTCTGTAATCCCAGCTACTTGGGAGGCTGAGGCACAAGAATCGCTTGAACCTGGGAGGTGGAGGCTGCAGTGAGCCAAGATCGCACCACTGCACTCCAGCCTGGGCGACGGAGCAAGACTCTGTCTTGAAAAAAAAAAAAAAAAAAGATGATCACAAGTTTGTGAATGACATCTTAAATATACAAATTAAAGTAGATTAAAGGTCACCCCTGTGAAGTCACTCATTTGCATTGTGATGTACTTTCCCGGGTGTGAGTTACGGGAAAAAGGCATAGGTAATGAACCTGGAACCGTACATGGTCCTGGGTGAGTATAAGCACGTGTGTTCAGGGACCATGTCAGAGAGCCAAGGCTGTTTTTCCACCTCAGGACGCCTGAGTGATATGATCCTTACCTGTCTAGAACAGGGGCTTACCATGGCAATGAATCCAGGTGAGTGGCTGCAGGGCCAACTCCCCAGCTCCCAGTTTCCCAATAGTCTGGATTGAGCAGTCTGCCATCTCCCCTCTCAGGTCATGGGTCCTCTCAGCCACCATCCCTCTCCCAGCAAACATTCTTGAGAATCACTGCTCTAGGTAATGTTACCTACATTAAATCCCCTCAAATCACTTTTTCTCTCGGCAAACCAAGTTACCAAGACTAAAACTACCTCTCTCAAAGTCCTGAAAATAAACATGCTCCCGGGTGGAAATGAAAGCTCCTTCAAAGAGGCACAGTGTTTCTGAGCAACACTGGGAAGCACGCTCCCTGTCACTGCCCAGAACTGCATTACAACTGAATGGAGGAAGGGCAAAAGAGTCCAAGAACTGGGCATTACTCAAGACCCTCTTCACTAAAAAATATAGAGGTACACCAAACAAAAATGCATGGTACCTCTGCCACAAACATCTTCAGCTTCATTTTGTAAGAAGGAGGGCACAAGGAAAGAAAAAGTAAAATCTGGCATATAGAAATCGGGGTGCGAGATAAAGGCTAGTCACATTCTATTAACTTCTGCTAGAGATCACTATCTAAAATGCCAAAAACTATTCTAATGACAGACTCTGAAACTCAATTTTATATTACAGACGCATGCACTTCAAGAATTTCAGAGTGGAAGTGACCTTCCATGTGATACAATTTGCAACTCAGGAAACTGAGAACCAGTGAGGTTGTATGGGCTGTTAAAGATAGCATTGTTAGTAGTACAAACAAGCATTTGCACACAGCTCTTCATAGTCTCAATCAAGGACTCTCACCTGTCACAGCAGCACCCAACAGCACCCAACACAGCGCTGACTTTTCAGTGCAGCTTCAAGAAATGGTGCACTTTAATTTTCAGAATTACAATAAAGATTTAATGTTAGAAAGCATCCTTTATAAGGACATTTTAATTCCTATTTCTTTATTACTCAATACAGTGCATACTTAGTTATAAAATGGTAGTACTGAGATAAACTTCTTTAAAATATCCAGATATCCAGAGGATATCCAGAGTTGATATCCTAACTGAAGTCTCCAAGTGAGTTTTCTCTCCCTCAAATTAATAAGTGAAATTGGTATTTAGTCTCTCCATCTCCAAAGTAATTGCTACATCTCTGCTGTATACTTCATAATGTGTTACAGAATGAACTTCTAAAAGAAAAAATGTGCCAATCACCAAATATTAGAAATAAATGTTCAAATCGATTAAACATTATTGTAATAATCCTGTACCAATTATTATCAATATTAGGTTTTCTAAGAAAAGATCCATAACATCACTAAAGAAAAGTTTATCCTACACCTAATTAATTATTCCAATTATCAAATACAATTTTTCAAGAAAAAGAGAAAGTCAGATTTAAATTTCTTTTCTACCTACATCTGAGCCATCAAATTACTTTGTGGTGCCAGTTTTCACTTGACTGTGACATAATAAATTATTTCCATAACAATAAAATCTTTGTTTTTTTAAAAAAAAATTGAAGATGATAATTTCTATGTCCTATCAAAGCTTTAGATACTGTATTTCTAACATGACCTGGTTTCTATTTTATATTTTTAATTTTAGGGAAATCAGCTATAAAGTACTAAAGAAGAATTACCAATACAATACAATTTACTATTGTGCTGAGAATAATCAAAGCAAAACAGAAAATACCACAATTAACCTACAACTTTACCCTGCATTTGAAAAATGCAGTGAAGCTGCTAGTATCTATTTTTTTCTCTAACTTTACAGTCTCATCTATTCTCAATATATTTTACTAACCAAAAATAGTGCATTCTCTAATGAAGAATAAAATCTCTCCAGTCACGTAATAAAGCACATGATACATATGCAGTGTATAAAAGCAGTGTAGCAACTGCCAATTCTCTTAAAAGTTGGTTATAATAAAGGAAGAATATAACATGAAAAAAATGTTATTTTTGTATTTTCTTTTAAAGCATATTAAAACTCTTAAAATACATACATTAAGTGAACATTTTGTATGGAAGCCTCAAAATGATTAATTGATCTACTTGGTATTTTTCTTTTTCACTAAATAATTCCTACTGTAGTAAATACTATAACATTTAGGTATAATACAAATTCTTTCTGGGATTGATGCTTTATTTATTTATTAAGAAAAATTAATATGGTTGAGAAACGAGAACCCTGGGAATCAGAAGTTGCCATATCTGAAAATATTAAGTACCAGAAATAAAAATGATTAAAATACACATGTAAAAGCAAGGATGTTCAAACATATATTTGCTCATGTTAACAGTTTCACAAAAGTCTAAATGATAATACATTTTTAGAGATTTGACAATACTTGTAGTCTCACCTTCATGAAATCTGCCAAAACACTACCAGGATTCACAAGAGTTAATGTGTAAGTGTAATTAAGAGTAGGCAAGTCCTCGTTAATAGTTAAACAAAGAAAGATGGGGATACCATACTGGACAGGTCAGTGGGACTACTAGCAGAAGGGCTGGGTCATGGGAAGCCTGTGAGGTTCAAGCCTAAAGTAATTTCCTTTCCTTGCTTACGGCAATCAAATCTAGTAAACCACTATAACAGTGTATTATGTGAAAACTACAATATGATTATCAACTTGAACTATTCAACACTATGCACCAGCTCACCCCACCAAAACCCCAGAATTAAGAAATCAAAAGTTAGAGAAATACCCAAGTCCTCATATAAATAAACTCCATTAATGATGAAAGGTGGTTTCAAATAATTAAAAAAAATGTATCTTTGATCAGAAAAGGAAATATAAGCGATAAATACACTAAAGCTGTATAATTAAATTTAAGATGAACAAAAAGCATGTAAGACCATTCTGCCATTCTGAAGCCACCATAAAGCAGCAGAATCCACTTGGGGGATTCATTTAGGCATTCATTTGTGTTCTAAAAGCCTTAATGGCTAAAAATACTTGATAAATGTAAAGTTACTTACTATCTTCATTTAAAAAAACCCAGTGAACTTGACCACTTACAATGTTTAAAGAAGACTTTTTCTAGAGCATCTATTACATATTTTGTAGTGGATAAACACTGCTGCTGCTCTGTATGTGTGTAGCTAAAAACAGGACTGATAATTTGGCCAATACAGTTATAAAGTTACAGAAATACAGACAAGACAACACATGCTGGCTTCTCTTACAAAGTCCTTTCTGGTATTATTCCAAACCAAGGTATAGAATGAAGTGATGTAAAAAAATCAACTAAAAGTCTTATCATACAATGTTTTTGTTTGGGGCCATAAAGAAATTAGCCTACTCTTATTTTTAAGAAAATGTTATGGTTTGAAAAATGCTATCTAAGAGAGAGAGAATGAATAACAAGGAGTTCATCCTAGAAATAATGTATGTAGATGTACAGAATACAAATAAGTAAAGCTGCAATCCTATTGTTAACGTGGGGAAACTAAAGGAGATATAAAGAAAAGAGGATAGCAAAACAGATAAACTGAGTGCATTTAAGAATGTAACCGGCCGGGCGCGGTGGCTCACGCCTGTAATCCCAGCACTTTGGGAGGCCGAGGCGGGCGGATCACGAGGTCAGGAGATCGAGACCATCCCGGCTAAAACGGTGAAACCCCGTCTCTACTAAAAATACAAAAAATTAGCCGGGCGTAGTGGCGGGCGCCTGTAGTCCCAGCTACTTGGGAGGCTGAGGCAGGAGAATGGCGTGAACCCGGGAGGCGGAGCTTGCAGTGAGCCGAGATCCCGCCACTGCACTCCAGCCTGGGCGACAGAGCGAGACTCCGTCTCAAAAAAAAAAAAAAAAAAAAAAAAAAAAAGAATGTAACCATTACCTTTGCAATGGGAAATGCAAGTTACCAAACTGTAATCAAATAGTAAAGTTAACTTTACTATACTCATAAACTTAAAACAAACAGGCTCATTGAAAAAAACTAAATAAAGTAATAAATCCCTGGCTCCTTTACTCACTAGAAGGTAGAAGTTATCATGTATTTACTTACACCGATGAGACTGGAAAGTATTCCTAACATGTAAGGCAATCCACAAACTTTTTCCCACTACATTCAGACTATACTAACTGTATCAGAGATTACATATAATGAGAGGATGCATACAAGTGTTCTTTCAAAGCACATATTAAAAATCAATAAAAATTATTTTATTGAAATGCAACTATTGAAAAAGCAGATGTGCTTTTGTGGTCCAATACCCTCCCAGATATACCATGCTACATATCTAAGCTCAATCACTTACTCATTGAGTTTGGAAAACATCCTCAAGTAAGTCTGCATTGAGCTCTGTAAGGTGGTTATTCAGTCACTCACACTGATCAAACCACACTTGATACAGTACTGCTTCCCAGTCTCAACCTATGAACAGTTTATGCTCTAAATAAGTACCACATGCAAAATACAAAACCTTACAGAGTGAAGATTAGTAGCAATGTCTTAAATAAGAAAGCTGCTTGGTGACGTACTCTGGGAATTTAGGTCAGTCTAGTGCAAGATGGCACCAATTACTGAGAAGTTAGGAAAAAACAGAAAATCGGTGAAACTTGCAAATTATATACCACGTTGGGAAAACCCTAAATTACCGCCACTTGAGGCATTTGGAATCTAACTGAAAGAAATACCAGCAAACATATTAATTACAATAGGGATCTCAACAGAGGTTGATTGGTAAAGAAACATGACGTAATGGTAAAAACATTTTTCTAATGTCGATAGGTAAAATTTATTTGCAATAACTTGTCATAAGATATCCAATTAGACTATCTTTCCACAAAGATAAGATTATTTTTAATGATATTTTGTTTAGAAGATTTCACATACTTTTTTTGGAAGAAATGCAGATTTATATTCCTTTCATAGTTTTCATACAAAAAAAAGTTTTTAATGACCATATGAGCCAAGACTAAGGTGCGTATGAATATTTTTAAAAGACGGAAATGAATGTGAATCCACTAGACGCTGTATTTCTTTCCTTACATTCAGTTCCACACCTTATAAAATTATCAAAGTGATACAGGAAAAAAATCCTAAATTCATTATAATTTCATATATCCTGAAGCCAAAACCACAAATGAATGGAGTTTTCTTGTTGCTATTAACATGATGAAGATCCATTTCAGAATAACTTATCAAGAATTTGCCATTTTGATACAATCAAGACAGATAAATGAAAACAAGCTTTTATGGTTTTATGTTAATTACAATAGAGTTAAATGCTTTTAGTATCAATGTACCTTATTAGTACAGTTTTTAAAATACTACTTGGTGTAACATAAGCAGCAATAAGAAGAATGCAAACAGGCTGTGACAGAGGCTGTATGTCTAAAGCCCCTTCAAAGATGAGATATGAAGAGAGCCCAACAGGGATCAAATGTGGAAACAAGAGGGTTATAGCAAAATCCTCTTGTCAGGCGGTATTCCATCTGGCCCTTCTGGGCAGAGCCTTGCTTCTCCACAGCTAACTTCTTATCAATCAGGGTACCAGCAAAGCAGATGGCTCACTGCATAACTAAGAAGATTTTCATAAAGGAACGATTTACTAAAATCTGGGCAGGGTTAGGAAAATCAACAGACAATGCGGTACTCTGAGGCTAGCAACAACGGGGTGCTGTTTCCATCCCAGAGGCAAGGAAGAGAAGAGCTGCAGAAACCTGGAGAAAGATAAACAGGGAGGGTCACCAGACAAGAGCTGTGACCTTAGGGTAAGGAAAGCAACCAACCCAAAATAGGCAGGGAGGGAAGGAGAGACGGGAATGGATACTCTTAGCTTGCTCTCTTGTCACATCCTCCAATTGGCTAAATCCAACTGGACATAAGATGGCAAGAATCTTACTGATTCAATCCATACAGGTCAGCCTCCAAGGACACAGATCAAGATGGAGAATAGATGTGGAAGGACAAACAGAAGATATCCACTTCTGTGGAGGACCATCAAGTAAATGTAAAGCACAGTGAAAAAATATATAAGAAACATCAAGCAGCACAGTTGGCTGGAGCAAAGGGTATAATGTACAGCATGCATGGACAAAAGAAGTGAAAATGGTAGAAAGTCCCAAATT
Source organism: Homo sapiens (assembly GCF_000001405.40). Lineage (NCBI taxonomy): Eukaryota > Metazoa > Chordata > Mammalia > Primates > Hominidae > Homo > Homo sapiens. The sequence goes on along the minus strand of NC_000006.12, from coordinate 20,762,893 downwards.
AACTTGGTGGGTAAGAGGCACCAGTGAGAGTATACATACAGGAAAGTAAAATAATCCCAGGTTAATGATAGCAGGATATGCAGTCAGATTGAAAGGAGAGTCACTGATGGCAAAGATCAGTTAGATTATTCCAGCAGTTCTTATATTAAGGAGGAAGTAAGAGGTAAGCATTAACATGAACTAATGCCTTAATATGTTCTGTGTACCTCAAAAGTCTTATCCATTTAATCCTGACCATTTTAAGCTGAGAAAACTAAGCCTCAGAAAAATAACTTGCTGAAAGACAACCAACAACTGGCTAACTGCTGTAACAACCACATTATTTCAGTGACATATGCTGTCTGAATGAAGTACTGGCAGTAGACATAGAAAGCGAAGAACAGAAGTTGACTGATAGGCACAGTTCTCTATTAACTAAGAGATCTCAAAAACATCATGTAACTCCTTCACAGCTCAGCTTCCTGATCTGCAAACTAAGGAAAGCTATCAAAATTATTCCTTCCATCTGAAAAATTCTCCTGTTGCATTATGAAGGCTTAATTATCAAACTTCCCATCCTCTAACCAAACCTGCCAATGAATATCCCCTTCAACTTCATCTTCGACTCACTTTCATAGCCAAATGCACACACAATCTCTCCAGTAAATCCACTCAAGTCCACGCTCATCAGTAAGGAGCTATCCATGATTAACTCAGCCTGGGAGTAACAGGTCTTGTATGATTTCCCATAGAAATTTTATCTCTCCAGGCCATTTGGCAAACTCCTAAGCACACTGTTAATTACCATTAATTTCCTAAAATAGATTTTATTTTTTAGAGTAGTTTTAGATTCAAAGAAAAACTCAGCAGAAGTACAGTTTCTATATATCACTGCCCCCACTTCACACACAGCCTCTCCAACTATCAATATCCTACAACAGAGTGGTACGTTTGTTACAATCAATGAACCTACACTGACACATCATTTTCATCAAGAGTCCACAGTTTACATTAGGGTTCACGCTTGGTGTTGTTCATTCTAAGGATTTAAACAAATATATAATGACAATTGTCCACCATTACAGCATCATACAGAATAGAATTACTGTCATAAATATCTTCTGTTTTCTGCCTACACATCCCTCCCTACTCTCTAATCACTGACACCAACTGATCCGTTTACTCCTTCCGTATTTCACCTTTTCCACAATGTCCAATTAGTTGGACTCATAGAGTATGTAGCCTTACAGATTGATGTCTTTCACATCATAGTATGCATTTAAAGTCCCTCTATGTCATTTCATGGTTTTTTAGCTCATTTCTTTTAGTGTCAAATAATACTCCATTGTCTGCATGTACCACAGTTTCTTTATCTATTTACTTACTAAAGGGCCATTTTTTTGCTTCTAAGTTTTAGTAATTACAAATAAAGCTACTATAAACACTGAACAGGTTTTTGTATAGACGTAAGTTTTCAACTCATTTGGATAAATATCAAGTAGCACACCTGCTGGATGATGTAAGACTGTGTTTAGTTTTAAGAAATTGCCAAACTGTCTTTCAAAGTACCTGTACCATTTTGCATTACCACCAGCAATAAATGAGAGTTCCTGTTGCTCCATATCCTTGCCAGAATTTGGTGTTGTCAATGTTTTGGATTTTGACCATTGTACCAGGTGTATAGTTTTAACATACCACTATATTGCATTGCTGCTTTAATTGGTAATTCACTAATGACAGACATACGATGTCAAACACCTTTTTATATGCTAATTTGACATTTGCATATCTTCTTTAGTAAATTGTCTGTTCAGGTCTTTTGCCCATTTTTTAACTGGGTTGTTCCTTTTCTTATTATTGAGTTTTAAGAGGTCTTCATATATTTTGGATAATAGCCCTTTATCATATGTGTATTTTGCAAATATTTTCTCCCACTCTGTGGCTTATTTTCCCATCCTCTTGACAGTGTCTTTTATAGAGCAAAAAATTTTCAACTTAATGACATCCAACTTGGCAATTATTTCTTTCATAAATCATACTTTTGATGTCGTATCTAAACAATCACGCCACATCAAGATCACCTAGATTTTCTCCTATATTCTTCATCATCATTAATTTTTTTAAAAAATTATTGAGTGGCCAGTATATACCTGGTACTTAAGACAAAGGATGAATAAGGCAACAATGCCCTCAAGTATCTTAAATCACTGCTTAAGACACTCAATCAAATAACATTTAAGGTAGTGAATCTCAACTGTGAGAGAGCAAAGAAATAACAGTATCGTATAAATCACAGTATAATGTACAGGCTTTGGAGCCAGACTGCCTGGATTCAAATCCCAATGCTGTCACTTACTAGCTGTATGCACCTGTGTCTCAACTTGGTCCTCTGCAAAATTAGGAAAATATTTATGCCCACTTCACTTCACAGTACTATTATGAAGGTTAAATGACTTAACCCATGTGAAGTGTTTAACATAGTGGCTGTCACACTGTAGGTACACAATAAATGCTAGCACTTCTGGATTCTCCAGGACGGAGTTGAAGTAGTTTGTAAAAACATTCAAATTATCATTGCTATAAATTTTTAATCCTGATATTTCACTTTATTTTGGAACATCAAAAGAAGATTAAGGGCCAAGCATGGCAGCTCATGCCTGTAATTCCAGCACTTTTGGAGGCCAAGGTGGGTGGATCGTTTGACCCCAGGAGTTCGAGACCAGCCTGGGCAACATGGCAAAATCTCATCTCTATTTATAAAATAAATAATTTTTAAAAATTAAAAAATAATAAAAAAAGATTAAGGTATAGTCTCATTCTCATATTCTCATAATCTCATTTATTAGAAATTGATTCTGTAATAATCTCTGATAAGGCAATGATTCAAAATTAATGAATAGAAGCATGTGGAAAGTAGTAGACACCACCCAGAAGGAAAAGTGCAGCATTAAAATTTCCAGTTTGGCACGTGGAGACTATATGGTTTTTTAAAAAATATAAGTTTCTCATTTACAACAAAACAGTACTTAAGTGAGACTTTCAATTCACTTAATATTTCAGTATCATATTATTGGTTTTCATTTGTGCTAATCAAACATAGGAAAAAGCCTTTAAAAATTTAAAATTATACCACAGAGTTGAAGATGGTTTATTTCACAGTGACTTCAATAAGAATCTATGTCAGTGAGTGTTGGCTAACAAAATAAGCAAAGCTTAATTCTACTTTCTTTGTGTAATTTTTAGTGTAACTATAAAAAATACACCTTGAACAAGCATCAAAATTATTACTGTTAAAAGTACTTACAAAACAACCTAATTATGTGATAACAAAATGTACAAATAAAAAATTCCTTATTATTTATTTATTTATTTTGAGATAGGGTCTCGCTCTGTCAACTGGGCTGGAGTGCAATGGTGCAATCACTGTTCACTGCAGCCTCAACCTCCCAGCCTCAAGCAATCCTCCCACCTCAGCCTCCTGAGTAGATGGGTCTACATGAGCACCCCACCACACCCAGCTAATTTTTCTATTTTTTGTAGAGATGAGGTTTCGCCATGTTGCCCAAGCTGGTCTCGAACTCCTGGGCTCAAGCAATCCAACTACCTCAGTCTCCCAAAGTGCTGGGATTACAGGCATGAACCACTGTGCCCAGAAAATTTCTTTATCTTAAAATTGATTAAATTCTTTCAATCTGAAATTCAAACTAAATTCATTTTACACAAAAATAAAATAATATTTAAAAAAGAAAACTATGACCTGATTCATTTATTCTTTAAAGACAGGGTGTCACTGTGTTGCTCAGGCTGGAGTGCAGTTACATGATTATAGCTTACTGCAGACTTGAACTCCTGGACCCAAATGATCCTCCAGCTTCAACTTCCTAAGTAGCTGGGACTACAGGTGCACACCACAGCATCAAGCTGACTTTCTCCCCCAGAGATCCCAGGATCTTGCCCAGGCTGGTCTTGAACTCCTGGCCTCAGGAATCCTCCAGCCTCAGCCTCAGCCTCAGCCCCAGCCCCAACTGCTGGGGTTACAGGAGTAAGCCATTGCTCTTTGCCTGATTCATTTATAAGCCAAACAAATATACAGCGAGTGCCTGCCTCCAATATTAGACTGGCAAATTCATGAAGCCAAGGATAACATTTTATGATTTTATATCTAAAACAATAACTTTTATAAAGGTGCCTGGCAAGAGTTACCTGAGTGGTGTTTCTACTATGTAGTTCAGAAAATATATACATCTGTTTATCTCACTTTCAACGATTACCTTTAATTGTCTCCTCCACAACTTCTACCACACGATCTATCTGCTGAACCTGGAAAAAAAAAAAAACGATTACACAAGTAATTTACACGAAGAAACAAAATTTGTGTTTATCCTTATGCTTGAGTCAATGTTACACATTTTCTAAGCACATCAATGCAGGTTTCCTTTAATGTATTTGGAGACACTATAAAAAATATCCTATATTAATATTTTGTGTTTCAATGAAGTATGAAATTATCACTCTCCTGTCCTCCAATGATAACTGAAGATATCATATTGCATTTAAATAAACTGCCTGGAGTTGTTTTAGGATAGCCTATCAACATATACTCAACATATCCTGAGACAGAAACTTAAGTTTAATTAACACATGTCTTCTCACACAGAGCTTCAGGAAAAAAAATGGCATAAAACGACAAGCTACACAAAAAGAACATGCTAGTATTAAGGAGATCTGTTCCAAATTCTATCTTTATTATTTTAATACTCAAAACCCTTTTGATGAATTTCTACCATGTGCTGGGTACTGTACTCAGGTCCATGAAATACAAAGTCAAATAATACAGCTTCTGTTCTATACACCAGAGACTAAGGAAGCTTTGCCATGGGAACACAGAGGAAAGGTAATAAAATCAGACCAAGTGATGCAGGAATGCTTCCTAGAGAACCAAGGATGACTCCTGGGGTTATGATTAAACAGGATTATGATTGGAGAAACCCACTGAGAATGAGTAAGCATGGCTAGAGTTTAAAAGGAAAATGAAAAAAAGCAAAGTAATATTATGATTCACAAAGCTAAAAAAAGAATAAGTCAAAGTCGATTCTTCTTTAAAAGTCCTTAAATTACCGTTGTTTTATTACAGAAGAAATATCACAAAAAAGTCAAACAAAATAGAATATAAAATGGAAGTCAGTTGAAAGAAATCATAACATCTTTCATGCTGTATTTCCACTCCTCAGATGAAACCACTAATAATAGTGTGATGAGCAGATACCATGACATTTTCTGGCATCAAACATTTACATATAGGTCTGTTCTATAGTTTTATCCTTCTTTTACAAATGATAGAGGGTGTGTGTGTGTGTGTGTAAATAAATATATAAAAAAGATATACAAAATAGACCAAGACCAGCTGGGGCAACACAGTGAGGTCCCGGGGTCTTTGGTAGGGGGTTATACATATGTATAAAATACACCTGTGCCTTGATGTTTTTTCTATATATTGTCAGTCTATAGGTCTATTTCATTCACCTTACTATCTCTCTGTATGGATGCATGATGTGATGCATGCATCCATACCTCTATTGATGAAAAAATTTCTATTCTTTCATTATTATACAACTCTGCAATGAACTCAACTGAGACAAGAGGAACCTGTTTAAAAAACTTTATTAAAAATGTAATGGCTGGCTGGCCACAGTGGTTCATGCCTATAATTCCAGCATTTTGGGAGGCCTAGGAGGGGGCAGATCACTTGAGGTCAGGAGTTCGAGACCAGCCTGGCCAACATGGTGAAACCCTATCTCTATTAAAAATACAAAAATTAGCCAGGTGTAGTGGTGCATGCCTTAGTCCCAGCTACTCAGGAGGCTGAGGCAAGATAATAACTTGAACATGGGAGGTGGAGGTTGTAGTGAGCTGAGATCACACCACTGCACTCAAGCCTGGGCAACACAGTAAGGAAAGGAAGGAAGGAAGGAGGGAAGGAAGGGAAGGAGGGAAGGAAGGAAGGAAGGAAGGAAGGAAGGAAGGAAGGAAGGAAGGAAGGAAGGAAGGAAGGAAGGAAGGGGAGAAGGAAGGAAGAAAGGAAGGAAGGAAGGAAGGAAGGAAGGAAGGAAATGGTAATTCTCTTAAAAATATTCCTTTGGTCTCAGTATCTTACAGAAAATGAGGAAAGGCTTGTGAGAGCAGACCTGAACTCCATTCTACGTCTGACCACTCAGCCCAACATGATGGCAGCAGCAACAATAATTACTGAGAAACTGCCAAAGGTAAGTAAATCTCAGACAACATTAGGTTTTCAGCCCCCAACAAACCTACCCAACCGGAGATGCATCTACCAGGAAACAATGGAACCATTAGGCCCTGGTTTTATTATAAGAGCCCATGTGGCTTCCATACAGAATGTGATTGAAGAAGCCAGCAGAACAAAGATTTCAAAGAGGAGGAAGTGACCAACAGTGTCAAATACTACAGAGACATAAGTATACAGACTAAAATGAATATGTTTGATTTAACAATACGGGAATCAAACTTAGGGAAAGCAGTGAGTTCAGTAGTAATGAATTATACGTAAGAAAACAGAGAGAGTTAATTTGTACTCAGTAAAAAGCTGGGGAGAAAGGGAAGGAGAAGAAAGGCTCTTGATGGCTAGAGAATATTGAATATATTACATTTTGGTTTAGGTTCGTACAAGTAACTATTTATTTCTTTTTTTGCAGTTTGAGCAGAGAAAGGCAGTAGGCAAAGGAGCTGTAGACTGAAAAACAAGTGATGGAGCAATGATCTTCAGGAAGTAGACCGAGCAAAATCTAAAACATGAATAGAGAACAAGTCAGAGTGAGAAAAGGGCCAACTCTTCGTCTCCTGAAAGAAGAGGTTAGGGGTAAAGCATGGGAAAAGATGCTAGTACTCTTGTAGAGGTCAGGGAGAATCTAAGCAAATTCCCACCTGTTGCCCTCAATTTTTCTCAGTAAAGTAACCAGAAGTTCATCTGCTAAGAGTTAGAAAGCATATCATAAAATAACAGAATGAATGTTTTCAAATACCTATTACAGACAACAAGAGACAGTGATGACTAAGAACACATAAAATTCACCACACAATATTGGGACACCAGTTGAAATATGAGACCATGAATTTATAACAATAACTCCAAGTAGAGCTATAATTTTTCTCAAGTCCCAGCAGTTCTACAGTAGGAGCCAAACAGACAAACAGACTGACCCAAGGTTTGTTAATACCACCATTTATTCACTCATCAATTATTGAGCATCTAAATTATACCAGGATGGTTGAAAGGACTGATGAAACAACACTAAGAGATTTGTGGAATGGACTAGAAAGAAAATGGAACAAGGAAAGTTAACTATGCATTTTAGATGAGACGAAGTTTGGCAAATAGGTTAAACAGGGAAAGAAATAGAGCCAGAAAAGAAGAAATGAAGTGGCTGGGGGTTGGAGAAAGAAAAAAATGAAGGGGAAAAAAAGGAAGGAGAAAAGAAAAAGGACAGAAAGTTATAACCAGAGTACAGACACAGGCATTTAGTATTTCTGAAGAATAGTAAGGTCCAGTATCTGGCAATGGGAATAGGTTGCTGAAACAAGGTGTAGGTGATGACTGCTGGAACTGATGTATGATGAAGTGAGAGGTGACAATGTTGCCAAGACATTATATCCAGACACTCAGATTGCCAAAGATAATACAGACATGAATAGGATAAGAAAGAGTTGGTCAAATTTCCTACTGGATGTGGGTGAATGACCAAGATATCAATTAAGGATAGAAGACAGACAATAAAATGAATAAAATATAAGATAATTCCATGATGAAACCATAAAGAAAAATGTTTTCCTATGCAGTTAAAAATATAAAAGCTCAAAAGCACTGCATCCACTCTTGTAGCACATGGACTGAATAAGAAGCCATATTTCTAGAGAAAAGTCAGAACATGCAGAGGAAGCAGTCTGTTAAAAAGTTGAGGGTAAGCTAAAACTATAAAAGTCTTAGAAGAAAACACAGCCATAAATCTATATGAACCTTAGATTAGACACTGATTTCTTAGATGTAATGCCAAAGCACAAACAACAAAAACAACAAAAGAAAAAATAAATTGGATATCATCAAAATTCAAACCATTTGGTACTTCAAAGGACAACATCAACAAAGTAACATGACAACACAGAAAATGAGAGAAAACTTTTATAAATCACATATCTGGTAAGGAACTTATATCTAGAATTTATGAAGAACTTCTACAACTCAATAATAAAAAGACAACCCAATTAAAAATGGGAAAATAATCTGAACAGACACTTTTCCAAGGAAAATATACTTATGGCCAATAAATATATGAAAAGATGCTCAACATCATTAGCCAACCAGGAAATGCAAATCAGAACCGTAACGTAGGAATAGGGAGCTATTGCTTAATGGGTATAGAGTTTTAGTATGAGAAAATGAAAATATTCTAGAGATGGATAGTGGTGATGACTACACAACAATGTAAATGTACTCCACATCAGTTAAAAATGGTTACAGTGGTCAATTGTATTTTATGTGTAGTTTACCACTACTGAAAAAACACAATGAGATACTACTTCACACCCAGTAGGATGACTACCAACAAAAAGACAGGCAGGCCAGGTGCAGTTGCTCACACCTGTAATCCCAGCACTTTGGGAGGCCAATATGGGAAGATCACTTTAAGGCCAGGAGTTTGAGCCCAGCTTGGGCAACACAGCGAGATCCTGTCTCTACAAAAAATTTTTAAAAATTAGCTGGGCACAGTGGTGCTCACCTGTAGTCCTAAATACTTGAGAGGCTAAGGGGGAAAGACCGCTTGAGCCCAGGAGTTCAAAATTACAGTGACCTATGATCACACCACTGGACTCCAGCGTAGGTGACAGAGTGAGACCCTGTCTCTTAAAATACACACACACACACACACACACACACACACACATACAGATAATAACGAGTGTTGGTGAAAATGTGGAGAAATTGGAACCTTCATACATTGCTGATGGGAATGCAGTAAAATGATGCAGCACTTTGGAAAATAAGCTGCCTGTTCCTCAAATGATTAAATAAACAGTTACCATATAATTTAGTAATGTCAATCCTAGTTATAACTCCAAGAAAAATGAAAACATGTCCATAAAAAAACTTGTACACAAATGTTCATAATAGCATTATTCATAATAGGCAAAAACTGGGAACGGAAGTATCCATTCAGATTAACAACATGTGGCATATGCATACAACGAAATACAGCAACGCATCACTAAGACAGAATGTGTTCTGAGAAACGTGTTATTAGGTCATCGCTTCATTGTGTGAACTTCAGAGTGTACTTACACAAACCCAGATGGTACAGCCTACTACTCAACTAGGCTATATGATATAGCCTACTGCTCCTAGGCTACAAACCTGTACAGCCTGCTACTGTACTGAATACTGCAGGCAGCTGATACACAATGGTAAGAATCTAAACATATAAAAGGTACAGTAAAAATACTGTATTATAATCTAAAGAGACCACTGACTTATATACATCATTGATTAAAGTTTGTTACGTGGTGCCTGATCATATTACTAATCCATAAAAGGGAATGAAGTATGGTTACATGCTATAAATGCAAAGTGAAAGAAGCTAGACAAAAAGGTCACAATAGGAAATGTCCAAAATAAGAAAATCTACAGAGACAATGTCAGTTAGTGATTGTCTTTGGATGGGCAGAGGGAGAATGAAAGGCAGTTGCTAAGAAGTACCTGCGTTTTTTTTGAAATGATGAAAATGTTCTAAAATTAATTGTGGTAATGGTCATACAATTCTATGAATAAACTAAAATGCAATGAATTGTACACTTTAAATGGGTGAATTGCATAGTGTGTGAATTATATCTCAGTAAAGTTGTTATTACCAAAAAGAAAAAAAACGTTGGGAGTGGTCAAAGGTTCCAATGTCAAGGCCATGAAAGTCAACGAAAAACTGAGGAAATGATCCAGATTAAAGGAGACTGAAGAGACCTGACCTGAATGCTACTATGAATCTGAGACTTTTCATTTCCTATAAAGGACAGTATTGAAACAATTGGCAATATCTGAATAAAGCTAATACACTAGTTTATAATATTGTATTAATACTGATAATTGTACTATAGTGATTTAAGAGTGTGTCGTAGCTTTTTAAATATATGGGTATTTAGAAGTAAAGGGCATCATGGTTGCAACTCACTTTCATAAGGATCGGGATCAGGGGGAAAATGTGTACACATAAAAAGAATGAGAAAATGTGTTAAAATGTTAATATTTGGGGAATCTGGGTAAAGAGCATATAGGAACTCTTTATTTTTGCAACATTTCTGAGTGATACTACGTCAAAATGAAAAGTCTAAGAGTGTGTCTGTGTCTGTGTGTGTGTGTACATGTGTGCATGCACATAGAAGAAACAAAGATGGCCTGATGAAGATGGAGACCCTGATGGTCACACAGAATTTGCTTGAATGTATATAGCTGAAAATATATCCTCTAATTTAAAATAGTACTTGATTACATTTGCTTTTATGGCAGGAAGTGGAATATTGCCAACACATGATAATTTAAATCACTGGATGGTGTGTGGGAACCCCAGGACCTTAAAAAGAAAGATCTGCCAAAACTGTAAAATTTAAAAAAAAAATGTAAGTACTTGATTACAAACAGAAGAGAAGTTTATTAAATGATTTAAAGATAATATTATGTCCATTTTGGTTTCCAGTACGGAAGACAACGGAGGAAGCAATGGGGAAAAGGGAAAAAAGGGGAGACCAAGAGGAAACGGAGAGAAGAGTCAGGGGAGGGGGAGTTACGCGGAAGAGGAAAACATCAGAAGAAAAAAAAAATGAAGGGTGGGAGGCAGAGAAAGAAGAAAAAACAATCGAGAGCAAGAAAACAAACTCAAAATTCACATACAGTAATGAAGAATATATTGAACTCATTCTGGGAGAAAAGGAAAGTTGTTCTTAATTAATATATAAATTGAGGCTCTGAATACACAAGAGCTTATTCTCTAGCATGTAATTCAAATAAAATAAATAAAACAGTATCTTGTGTCCTTGAGGCACTTAGTTATAAATACACACAAAAAAAGACAGGCAGTATGTTTTATTACTGACTCCATATGTTCTCAACAATGAAGAAAGGAGTTGGTGTATAAACAATTCATAAATAACATTAATGAGTCATTCTACTGCAGAACTTTAAAAAGAAATCCACAAAAATATTTTATTCAGCTATTATCAACTATTCCAAATTTATAACTAGACATGTATTGAAGAAACAAGCCTATACAATGGCACTCAAAGCAAATAAAAATGCTATTCTAAAGTATCCTAATCACTCAGAGCAGTGCTGTCAGCAGGACCTTCTGCAATGATGGAAATGTTTATATGCTGTGCCATCCACTATGATAGTCACTAGCCACATGTGGTTATTACAGACTTCAAATGTGGCTACTGTTACTGAGGAACTTAATTCATATTTAAATAGTCAAATGTGGCTACTGCAGCCACACTGAAAAGTGCAGCTTTAGGGAATGGCTAAGGGAGCCACTCAGTTTACAGTAATTTGTTATGGCAGCCTTAGGAAATGAACATACATCTCAAACACAATTTTGCCAACTAGGCTTTAAAAAAAAAAGTCCACTCATTTGAAGCCGTCGGAGAACAAGCTGACACTACTCTGCAGTCGAAGGTTCTGTTTTAGTATGCACTTGAAGTATCATTTTTCCTGAAAAACCAGCAGCTAGATAAGTTAATGACTAGGAATAACACAGTGACAGCTAACATTTCTTGAACAATTACTCTGTTTCATGCTCTACACTGACACTTCACGTGCATTATCACACTTAATCCTCAAACACTACTAGGGAGGAGGAGACAGTACTGTTACTTCTTTTTTTTTTTTTTTTTTTTTTTTTTTTTTTTTTCACTCTGTTGCTCAGCCTGGAGTGCAGTGGTGTAATCTCGGCTCACTGCAACCTCCGCTTCCTGGGTTCAAGCGATTCTCCTGCCTCAGCCTCCTGAGTAGCTGGGATTACAGGTGCCTGCCACCACACCCGGCTAATTTTTGTATTTTTAGCAGAGATAGGGTTTCACCATGTTGGCCAGACTGATCCCGAACTCCTGACCTCAAGTGATCTGCCCGCCTCGGCCTCCCAAAGTGCTGGGATTACAGGCATGAGTCACCACGCCTGGCTGATAGTACTGTTATTTCTGAGGCTGAGAGATTTGAGGCACAAGGATATCAAGATAGATTTTTGCCAATGATTCCTAGTACATCTTGTCCAGGAATGGCAGATAGGTGGTCCACTTGATGAATCTCCCTTCTCCTATGCACATGGAGGTTATTATTAAATGATCATAAAATGCCCTTCAACTGAACGTGAACTTTCAAGAGACTCAGACAACTATTTTCTCCAAACTCTCCCCCACAAATCACCATTGGCATAAATACATTCATTTGAAAAATATTTGTTAAACACTAACTATGAACTACAAAGTTCTAGTAACTGGGGACATAACAGTGAAAAATACAATGTCCCTACTTTGGGAGGGTGAGGAGGGAGAATCACTTGAGCCCAGGAGTTTGAGACCAGCCTGGAAAACTAGAGACACCATCTTTACAGAAACAAAAAATTAGCCATGTGTGGTGGCATGTGCCTGCAGTCCCAGCTACTTGGGAGGCTGCAGTGTGCCGTGATCACATCATTCCACTTAGCCAGAGTGACAGGGCGAAACCTTGTCTCAAACAAACAAAAAATACAACATCCCTGCTTCATGGACCTTATAGTCTAATTAGGGGAAAGAAACTGCAAATAATGGAAAATTTTCATTTGCTACAATGACAGACACTATGAAGAAATTAAAATCTGGGGCCAGGTGTGGTGGTTCATGCCTATAATCACAGCACTCTGGGAGGCTGAGGCGGGAAGATTGTTTGAGCCTAGGAGTTTGAAACCACCCTGGACAACATGGCGAGACCCCGTCTTTATTTAAAAAAAAACAAAAAAGGAAAAGAAAAAGAAAATCTGGGGCTGGGCGTGGTGGCTCACACCTCTAATCCCAGCACTTTGGGAGGCCGAGGTGGGCAGATCACGAGGTCAGAAGATCGAGACCCTCTTGGCTAACACAGTGAGACCCCATCTCTACTAAAAATACAAAAAAATAGCCAGGCTTGGTGGCGGGCACCTGTAGTCCCAGCTACTTGGGAGGCTGAGGCAGGAGAATGGCGTGAACCCAGGAGGCGGAGCTTGCAGTGAGCCGAGATCGTGCCACTGCACTCTAGCCTGGGGGATGGAGTGAGACTCCATCTCAAAAAAAAAAAGAAAAGAAAAAAAAGAAAATCTGGGATTAGTGGTAGGAGGTAGAGAGCAAAATTTTTCTACAGCAGTCCAGTTAAACTTACTGAATAGGTAGCATCAGTCCAGGGACCCGAACCACTGACAGAGGCATCAATGCGAACCTCCGGCAGAAGAGTAAGCACAAGGACTGAGAGGCTGAAATAACATAAATGGGTTGTGTGGTCAAAAGAGGGACAGCAATTAGGGACACAGTGGTAAGAGATGAGGTCACATAATGATGGGAGAAAGAGTATGTGAGATCTTGCAGTTCAGCAGTTCATGCTATGTGGTTTAAATTTTATTCTATTTGCAAATGAAAGCCACTGGAGGGTTAATAGAATAATATTAACAACATTGCTCAGGCTAATTATATTAAAAATGTGAAACAGTGCTCTTTGTCCATATTTCTCTATTAGTTGGTATGACTCTTATTAAGACTGCATGAATCTGGCTGGGGTTTTACTATCTCTTGATTTTATCCCAAGATACCTCAAATCCTTTCAGGAGTAAAAGAAGTGAATACATTTTATATATATATATACACACACATACATATATATACACATACATATACATATATATATACACATACATGCAAAGTACTTTCTTATTAGCTGTCTTAATTTTGATTGTATATAAATAAATAAAAAGACAATGTCATTTTAATTCCAATTAAAAAATACCACAACCAAAACTTTAAAACTACCTGAAAACTCCACTGATCTGTAAAAGGAAAAAGTGATATCTAGGTCCAGTTTCATTCCCAACACCATAAAGAGACTATCCTTTCCCCAGTGTGTCTTCTTGGTGGGCTTGTTGAAAAAACTTCAGTTGAGTGCATATCCTTGGTATGCTTGGCTTTATCTCTAGGCTCTCTATTCTGTTCCCATTCGTCTATGTGTCTATTTTTATGCCAGTACCATACTGTTTTGATTACTATAGCTTTTTTTTTTTTTTTTTTTTTTTTTTTTTTTTTTTTTTTTCCAGAAACAGAGTCTTGCTCTCTTTCCCAAGCTGGAGCTGGAGTGCAGTGGCACAATCACAACAACTCGCCACAGCCTGGAACTCACCACAGCCTGGAACTCGCCACAGCCTGGAACTCCTCGACTCAAGCAACCCTCCTGCCTCAGCCTCCCAAGTAGCTGGAACTACAGGAGTATGCCATCATGCCAGGCTAATTTTTGTTATTGTTATTATTATCATTATTATTATTTTAGAGACAAGGTTTCAGTATGTTGCCCAGGCTGATCTCAAATTCTCGGCCTCAAGAGATCCTCTCACTTCAGCCTCTTGAGTTGCGGCAATTACAGGCACAAACCACTGCTAGCCACAATGGCTTTAGACTGTAATTTTAAACCACAAAGTGTTATGTCTCCAACTTTTTCCTTTTCAAGACTGTTTTGGCTATTCAGAGTCTCCTGTGGTTTCACACAAATTTTAGAACTGTTTTTCTATATTTGCAAACAATGTCATTGGAATTTTGATAGAAACTGCATTGAATCTGTATACTACACCATACATAAAAATCAGCTCCAGATTATAGGTCTAAATGTAAGACCTGACACTGTGAAATTCCTGGGAGAAAACTCTCTCTCCTTAAACATAGGGAAAAAGATCTTTGACATTGGCCTTGGCACTGATTTTTTGGATATCACACCAAAAGCTCAGGCAACAAAAAGCAAAAATAAACAAATGGGACTACATCAAGCTAAAATGATTCTGCACAGCAAGGGAAGCAATCAACTGAATGAAAAGGCAGCCTATGGATTGGGAGAAAATATTTGCAAACCATATACCTGATAAGGGGTTCATGTCCAAAATATACAAGGAATTCATATAACTTAATGGCAAAATAATTAAATAACCTTATTTAAAAATGGGCAAAGGACCTGAATAGACATTTTTCCAAAGGAAACATACAAATAGCCAATGAAAACATATATAAAAATGTGGTCAACATCATAATGATTAGGGAAAGACAAATCAAAACCACCATGAGCTATCACCTCACTGAGGATGGCCATGCCAAAGAGACAATAAATAACGAGTGTCAGCGAGGAAGTAGAGAAGAGAGAACCGTTATGCACTGTTGGTAGGAAAGTAAACTGGTACAGCCGTTATGGAAAACAGTATGAAGATTCCTCAAAGACTTAAAAATAGAACTACCATATGATCCAGCAATCCTTATATATCCAAAGGAAATGAAATCAGCACTCTGTAGAGATATCTGTGCTCTCAAGTTCAATGCAGCATTATACACAATAACCAAGATGTGAAAACAACCTAAGTATCCATCGATGGATGAATGAATAAAATAATTGTGGTATATTTAAGTAATGGAATATTATTCAACATTTTTAAAAGGATATCCAGTCATTTGTGACAACACTGATGAACCTGGAGGACATTATGCTAAGTAAACTAAGCCAGACACTGGGAAAAAAAAATGCATGATTTCAATTGTGTGTAAAAGCTTTACTTAAAACAAGTCAAATACAGAGAAACAGGGAGTAGCCTGGGGATTACCGGGGTGGGGAGGGGGAGAAAAATGTGAAGTAGATCAAAGGGTACAAAGTTGCAGTTATGTAGGACAAGTCTAGAGATCTAATTACATCATCAGGGCTATATTTAATATTGTATACTGAAAATCTGCTAAGAGTAGATATTAGGTGCTCTTACTACACACAAACATAAAAAGTAACTACAGAAGGAGATGGATAAGTTATTTTGCTTGACTCTAGTAATCATTTCACTATGTATATATAAAAACATTGTACACCTTAAATATATACAATAAAAAAGGAAAGAAATGCCCTTATTTCCATCTCCATTAAGAACTATACATATAAAGTCTTTTCCATCAAATATATGTTCAGATGTTTCCCCTTTACCATAACGAAGTTTGATTGAATAATCAGCATCTGACAAGTCAAAGTTCAATATTAACTTCTCTATTAAGCCAAGTCCCTACCTTACATAGTAATGGAGGAGGGCTCAATTTCCAAATCCCTTAAATGTGGGGAAGCTGACAGCAGTCACTAAGCTAGCTTAATGTGTTTCAACGCTATGAGAAGATTTTTCTTGAACTCACAAGCCCGTGAGCAACTTTGCTGTGTAACACAAAACAGCATTTGATGTTATGTGTGATTTAACTTTAATACTCATCTCCCAGTATATTTTCATCTTTAATCTCTTCATTCAAAAAGATTCTTCCCCAAAGGTAGAAATAGCCCTTTCAACAGAAGTTACATGACAGTACATTCCTCATAACACTGAAGGCATATTTCACCTGAATGGTAGTACCAGTGAGTGACTAATACTGAGTTAGAGATAAAAATAACTAACTGAAAGATGAAGCCAGGCTAGAAGGGTGCCAGTAAAATGAGGATTGGTACCAGGAACCTCTCTTCCTCTTAAATGCAACTAAAATACCGATTAAACTTTCTGTAGCGGGGAGGGGTAAAGGAGGCACAAAACCCCTTCAGCAATAAAAACAAAATTCAACAGGCTAAGCTCAATCACACACAGAAACAGTGTTTGGGACATCAGAATACTCCTATTAAATAACAGAACATGTTGCAAATTAAAAGATAATTTAAAAAGTGATACCAAAGTTAAACACAGAGTAATATTATAACTAAAACAAATACACATTAGAGATGTAAAATACCAATTAATAAACAATTTTACACATCAGACTTGTCCAACCCATGGCCTCTGGGCCCCACGTGGCCCAGGACAGCTTTGAATGTGGCCCAACGCAAACTAATAAACTTTCTTAAAACATTATTAGATTTTTTTTGGCGATTTTTTTTTAGCTCATCAGCTATTGTTAGTATTAGCCGAGAATTTGAGATCAGCAATTTGAACCCACGCAATCTAGTTCCTGAATCCATACTCTTAATCACTATGATATACTACATTTTAATCATTCAATAGGTGAAACATATATGAATACAGGTGAGATTAGAAGATGCCAAAAAAAGTGAAACCAACAGGTCAAGGAAGGGAAAAACATAAATGGGTGTTTAAATTTACATGTCATTCTCTCACAATACTACCTTTTAGACAACGGAAGTTAAAAAAAAATAGAACATGGCAAGAAGAAATGTTCGAAGTAGGGGCAAACAGGAGAAGGAGAGCGTTCCTCAAGCCTTGCCCTCAATACTGATCCCACTGTTACTGTGACACTGCTCCACTTTGTGAATTTGTTTACCTTTTGCAACATGGTGTACGATAGAAATATTCTCAAATTTAGCCGTTCAAATGCAGCTTTAACTGTACACATAATTTTCAAAATTAAAGTGCTCGCATTTGAAATAGTCAAAAGTCAATCCTGTTTCACTTTTCGAGATTAGAGCAGCCTGCCTGAAAAGATGTTTAACCACTGCAAATCAACCTGCTAATAGTCCCTGAGATAAGTGGACACCTGTGTTAAACCACATTTCTGTTCAGCTCTCCAAAGAAAATGTTCACCTGCCTGCAGGGCTCACAGCTGGCACATGAGGAAGCCTTGTCATTTACAAATTTTCAATATCAAATTGTATATTCCGTTGTGAATTGCATGTCTTAACATTTTACAACGTGTCTATTAATTTGCAGTTTATTTAGAATTTCTAGAGCTATAATTAGTTACAATGATCAGTCCAATGAATTAACACCAAGACCAACTTCAAATGTGGTCCTTGTTAATAACACAGAAAAACTACACAAAGCACACAATTTCATAAACACACTTTCTAGTAATAGAGTGAGAGCCTAACTTCCTAATAAATGTTGTTCCTGTTAATAATGGATACTGTAATAACTGATAAATAACACTACCTTAGGAAGAAGAACTCAGCAAATAAATATTGTTTCACTCATCTCTCCCTAACACAACTCACAACCAGCAGACACCAAGGGCATTTCCATCTGAGCCTTAAAGAGAAATTCCCAACTAATTGATCTCACTGTGGTCTAGGGACCCATCTCACTAGATTCTCCAGGAAGCTGGAGAAGTTCTGGACTCAAACCAGAATTCTCTCCCTAAGAACCAGAACGTAAGCTCAGTGAGGACAGGGATCTGGGACGATTTTATATACTGCTGCATTCCCAGCACTTGCATAGTACTGTGCAAGGAACAGTACACCAAGCACACAGTAGGCACTCAGTAAGTACTTGCTGAACCAAATAAATAATGATATGGTGGGTCTAGGATTTGAAGCTAGGCTTTCTGAAGCCTGAAGTCTACTACTCTTTTTTTACTGCAAATGTTAAGAGAACATCCTATGTTCTGGTTAACTAATCTAAAAGAAACTTTCTGCCAACAAATTAGCCTAAAAGAAAAACAGAAACATTCAAACAGATATATTCACAAGATATGAAACTATCTACAGCTAACATAAATGACATAAACAAATAGCAGTAATAAAAATGGCATTGCATGAAAACTCTAAGGTAGATGATTAACTATAACTATTTGTTAAAAGAGAAAGGGAATTTTTAACTGTAAGGTAAAATGTTTCAAGATCCTAAAAAGAGACAAAAAGATCCTGATTCTATACTGGTCACTCATAAATATACATCATCTAGATACAAAATTTAAACTTCACTTCATGCTAAGATAGTTTCATATCTTGTGAAAAAGATTTTGGCTAAAACTTTTTATTCAAGACATACATGTTTTCAAATCTGTTCTCTCTCCGCTTCCATTGTGAAGAAATTAGACAGGTTTGTGCACAGATTTTTGCTCCAAGATGGGAGAAGTGCAGAGGTTACAGCCACCAAAGCCAGAGGATCTGGACTCAGAGGATGGCAGGCTTTATTTCTGGTTTCAATGTTGTTATTTTCTTTCCATGCACCATCACACAAATAATATTAATCACAACTAGGTGATTTCAGGAGAGAGTGGGACAGATGATAATAAAAGGCCCAGAGGTCAAAAAATTGCTTACCATGTGTTCTCACCACACTGCCTTGTTCTGATTACTAAACTAAATGCCCCATTCCTACAGGCTTATATTGATGGAAACCAGCATGTTATGATGGTAGTAATTTCTCTCTTTATCTATTAATATCTTCTTAAATGCCTATGCTATGAGCACTTTCAAACATGGGTAAGTACAATAAAAGTCCTTTAACTCAGATGTACAATAAGCAGCTTGCTCACCCAATGATCCCCACCTCATGGAAGTTTTTTATTTTAATCGCCTGGTCAACAGAATTGACACATTCTTCCTGTACTGTAAGGTGACACAGATAAAGGCTAGCAGAAGATAAAAGCAAAGAATGCAGTTACAGTTGTTCTTCCTTCCAACTCTATTAACATCCTCCCATCATAGAAATTTTGTGAAGGAATAGCATTCTTTACTCAATCGTGCAATACAATTCTAAACTTCCTGCTAAAAATAGTTTCCCAAGTCACTGAATTTAAACATCTATTCTTTTTGGACTTCAGAACTGTTTTCTCTTTGTATAAAATATAATTCATTTCTTTATTTCACTGTAACTCACTATATTTGAGAAGGTTTCTAGTTTTATAGCAATTCTATACAACAGTTCTATTCAAAAGTAGGTCTCTCTAAAGGTAAAACTTAGATAATTTTGTTTCCTAATTTGTAATTTGTTTTCAAAATTTTTAGTTATGTGGACATAATTTTCATATATAAAAAGTCAGTGATGATAAATAAAATGTAATATACCTGCCACAGAAAAAAATGCTCTACAAAATGATATTAACAAATAATAATCTTATACTTTAATAATATGTAATGCTGGTAAACATATAATTAAATTACACCTCTGAAATGTTAATGATAGTGTGACCCCACTTTCAGAAACTTTTCAAAATATACTAATTTCAAATTTAAAAAATTTAAAAGACCAGCGAGAGCATTAATGTATTATGCATATTTCCTAAAAACTAGAAAATTCTTAAATACAATAATTAAGAAATAGGTAAAGTACGTTATATCCTTCAATAGAACACTAATGCCACACTTAAAATGGTTAAAAAACTCATGAAAGAACATCAAAAAATAAGAATACAAAATAGGTTTGAGATTACAATTAAGTAAAAGATGCAAAGGTTAAGTCTGAAGAAGATAAGCAAAATTTTAAATGCATTATGGCGATAGAAATATAGATTTTATTTCTACTCACTCTTCAAAATGTGTTCTTATTTCTCCAATTGTAAATGAACAAAATAAGATAAACCTAAAGACTACTAGTGGTAACAAAATGGGACTATATGACAGAACAAAACAGCAAAAGAAACTCTCAACAGAGTAAACAGACAATGTACAGAATGGCAGAAAATGTTTGCAAACCATACATCTGACAAAGGTCTAATATCCAGCATCTATAAGGAACATAAACAAATTTACAAGAGAAAAAACAAACAGCCCTATTAAAAAGTGGGCAAAGGACATGAACAGACACTTCAAAAGAAGACATACACGCGGCTAACAAGCATATGAAAAAAAGCTCAGTGTCACTGATTGTTAGAGAAATGAAAATCAAAACCTCAATGAGATACTACCTCATGCCAGTCAGAATGGCTATTATCAGAATGTCAAAAAATAACAGATGCTGGCAAGACTGTGGAGAAAAGGGAACACTTACATGCTATTGGTGGGAGTGTAAATTAGTTCAACCATTATGGAAAGCAGTGTGGCAACTCCTCAGAGAGCTAAAAGCAAAACTACCATTTGACCCAGCAATGTAATTACTGGGTATATACCCAGAGAAATATAAATCATTCTACCACAAAAACACATGCATGTGAATGTTCACTGTAGCACTATTCACAATAGCAAAGACATGGAATCAACCTACAATGACATATCGGATAAAGAAAATGTGGTACATATACACTATGGAATACTATGCAGCCATAAAAAAACAAAAACAAGAGCATGTCTTTTGTAGGACTATGGATGGAGCTGGAGGCCATTATCCTTAACAAACTAACACAGGAGCAGAAAACCAAATACCATACATTCTCATTTTTAAGTGGGAGCTACATGATGAGAATACATGGACACATTGGCGGTAACACCACACTGGGGCCTATTGGAGGGTAGTGAGTGGGAAGAAGCAGAGGATCAGGAAAAATAACTAATGAGTAAAAGGCTTAGTACCTAGGTGATAAAATAATCTGTACAACAGACGCGTGTTTAACCTGTATAACAAACCTGCACATGTACCCCTCAACTTAAAATAGAAGTTTAAAGAAAATAAATGTTAACCACAGAACAACAAAGGTGTGGGATTAAATAGAAAAAAAAATGTTTATCTGCCAGTGTCACAGCTTTGTGTCGGCCCTGAAAATTGGACTGACACAAAGCTGTGACATTGGCAAATAAACTCATATTAATAGCACTAAGTGTCCTCCCTTACACTGCATCTGGAGAATCTCCTGTACATCCTAACATACGCTTTTCCCGGCACACAATGGCATTTTAAAAAATGTTGCCAAAATGTATGCAGAGAAGAGCCTTTTGCCATACTAGAGAAATTCTGCTATTCTCTAACGTAATTCCTTGAGATGAAATCTAAGATCAACTCCAAGTTTTTACCACATTCCATCTCTAAAAAAGACTTCCAACTAGTTTCCTATTTCCCTACCACAGCAGGATTATGTTTATAGAGAAAGTTAGTCTGACATGAAAAGATAACTCGGGAGTCCCATATTCATTTCATTCCTTAAACCAAGAAAAATCAAAATGTAAACAGACAAATGGTGAAAACAAACTAAAGTTACCAAACATTCAGGTTCTGTTTGTTGAAAGTGAGAATGTTTGTTCAAAGATTATTAAATTTGCTAGTGGGGTAAGGACTTCACAGCAGAAAACAAGTTCATTACACTGAGAACATGATACAAGAACCTGTCAGTAGTATATCAAATAAGGAAAAATCTATCATAAAGTTCAAAGCAGATGCCAATTAATTATGTAAACTTCTTCTATGAGCATATGATGTTTTTACATATTTTTTTAAATTAATGTAGCCTTTTTAAACAAACAACATTGCTGAGCTTATCACCTACAGCTTCAGTAGAATGTTGGGAAGGAAGAAGCACCATCATTTGATCAACAAATATTGACTGAATATCAGCTACTTCAGGGCATTTTTACTCAGTCAAAGAGTAATTGACTACAAAGAACAAGAGAGAGAGAATAGACAGTAGTCTCCTTACTTCACAGAGCTGACTGCCCACGCCCCCCAAAAAAAAGTATGCTAACAACAGAAATACAACGGGAAGATTTTTTTCAGGCAATCAACAAACACTTATTGAGTGCTTACTATGTGCCAGGTATCACAGGAAAGGCTAGAGAAACATGGTGAGAGTTTTAAAAAAAGATTGAAAAACTATTCGCATGAGGCTAACAATTTAAATAGACAGGTGGGCTTTATTCAAAGAATTATACGACAGGTAACTGCACAGTAAGCAAAGAGAAACTAGAGAGAATAATTATGGTGGACTACACGGAGTAGGCAGAGAAGGCTTCACAGAATGTTGTCATGTTGGAGCTGAGACTTGTGGTGGTAGGTATAAGGGAAGTGGGGCATTTGAAAAAAGGCATTGATGTACTAGGGGGCGAAAAGCAAGTAGCTGAGTGAGGTGGAAAAACTGTAATGACTTGGAAAGCGATGGTAACAGACAGCCAAAGACCGGGTTATTAAGGGATGTAAATTCCACACTATGGCTTTTTATTGTGTTGCTCTTTCTTAATGAGAGAAACTAACACATGTTTTTGTGCTAAGGTGAAAAAGTTACACAGAAATGACAGTTTCAGGGACAATAAGGAAAATATGTTTAGGACAGCCATAAGTGTAACATAGCTTACAAATAACCTACAAACAGAAAATAAAATGCGGAGCTATTACAGGTGTTAACAATGTAAGATTTTCTCTTTTTGCATCAGGTACAAGCTTACCCCAATGATACTCAGTCCCTTAAGGTAGTCCTGGCGAGGCTGGGCTTGAGGAACGCATCCAGCCAGTACGATTTTCTTGTTCTCCTCTTGAGCTTTTCTAAAAGATTGAAGAGAAGACAATGTGAATTCCTTTGCTCATGGGTATACTCTTGGAAACTGTTGTTAGTGCATATTAGTTCTCCAAATAATAACAGGCCTATCTCACATGAAACAAGATTTTCTTACAACTGGTTAAAGAACACATAATAAAACTTCTGTACAATATGTCTATTTATCGCAGCATTAAAGAACACAACAGCAGTCCAATCTGATAATGCCATTCATTACCGTCTCATTATAAAACAAAAAAATTCATTATTTTTTACTTTATTCCCAAGGATATGAATCATTCTTGAAAACTGCATTTTCCAGATAGGCAAGCTAACTCTCCAAGTAGGTTACTTATTTTAAATGTTAATGAAAATATGCCTAAAACTTAATAGACTATTTCCTAGTCTTTTGACCAATATAAAAGTAAAATATACTTTAAAAAAACTGAAACAGAGAAGAGTAAATAAAAGGTATAATACCCTACGTGCTAGTAATTCCCCCATCTCCTCAGTCCTGCTCCCTAGAGACATGCTAAAGTTGACTGCATATGCTTACTTCCAGACACAAGACTATCCCTCACATATGCAAGCATATATGGGAAAACAAGCTGGTGCTTTGTACATACAAACATATTTGAAGATTTGAGAAAGTATTTCTGGATTACAGAAACCTAGATGTGAAATCCCCACTCTGTTGTGTAATTATTTCCTCAGTATAAATTCTAAGTAATTGGGTGCAGTGGTTCACACCTGTAATCCCAACACTTTGGGAGGCCAAGGCGGGAGGATCACTTGAGCCCAGGAGTTTGAAACCAGCCTGGGCAACATCGCGAGACCTTGTCTCTACTAAAAATAAACAAATTAGCCAGGCATGGTGGGGCGTGTCTGTAGTCCTAGCTACTCTGGAGGCTGAGCCAGGAGGAGCACTGAAGCCCCAGGAGTTCAAGGTTGTGGTGAGCACCACCAATGATGATGGCGCCACTGTATTCTAGCCTGGGCAACAGAGCAAGACTGTGTATCAAAAAAAAAAAAAAAAAAAAACTAAGAAGTAGAAATGCTGGCTCAAAAGTATACATATATGGCTATTTTTTAAGCATTTCTTTACTCAAGAGGGTGCTAGCAATATGTTTTGATGTGACATTATTCACTCGGGTATGCATATATATAGCAAACATTTATTTTGTGCTAGAAGACAGTAGTGAACAAAGCAGAACTTATATCCTCTCCTAGAAACTAGTCAAATCCTTTGCCCATCTTAAAATTAAATTTTCAAGTCTTTAATTCTTTTGCATGTGTACGGGTATTGGAGTGTGTTTTGATGCTTTGTTCACTTTTATTGCTGAGTCTTTGGGCACTGCGTGTTATGTACCCAATTGGGTCCCTCCTCCCACCACTACAAGCAACCTCTAGGTTTCTGAAACCAACTGAGAAAGGTAAGGGTATTAGCAGCTGAGTTTCTGTCGGTGTGACATTAAACTGTACTACTACAAAGTAAAAGGTCTCTAAACCTGGCACACTTCTTTGTCTTTGTCAACTTTTTCAAGAGTACAAATTCAGAACTAGATGCCAACAAAAAATTGGGCTCTTTGTGATGAACAGCCACATCAAAATTTTCTGGGAAGTACAGAGAGAATGATTAAATAAATGAATAGACAGAGTACAAAATACTATTTTAACGGCACCTGCATTTCATTTCAATAGCTTCTAAGAACACTTTGATATAATTTTTCTTCTTGGAATCTTGAAAAAGCTTGTTAACGAAATAAAAACAAATCTGACTTTGGTAGATTGCATAACACATCCAAGAGAATTATTGCCTGGCTCTGCCACCTGGTTTTACTTTTTATCAGTACCAAGCACATCATTGCATATAAATACTTTTCTTGTATTAAATGTGAAATACCTTATCAAACAAAAAAATCTTTCCATTTTCATTAGCCATGTATACAAAGACGTTAACATCAAGTTTTTCAAGAACTTTCATTATAACACCTAGAATTTCTGCCAAACATCCAAGAGACATTGAGATGACTAATAATTAAATCCAAATTCAAAAAGCCTGCTTCCTAAAATGCTATTCAATTTCTTATTAAGCATATCTAAGACATCATTACACTCAGTGTTTAAGAGAACACGGTAATGAAGAAGACAAGTGCTTTGCACTCAACAAGCTTATGGTTTATAATATTTGAAATATAAAAGAACGTTAAAAACACAGCATTCAGTAAGGTGTCCTTGGTGACAGTGAGATGGATAGCTAACATACCACGAAGTCAAAAAGAATATGCAGAAAGGAAAACACAGGAAAAAGCTTCATGAGGAAATCTAGGAGGATTTTTATTGGCAAGACAGGAGTAGGAAAAATGGAGATGGAGGCACAGAAAGCTCAGGGCAGTTGTTAGAGCATGAACAAAGACAAGGAGGAGGAAAGTATTTCATTATATTAATAGAAATAATTTCTGTAATTGGGAGAATGAGAGGGCTTATACTGTAGAAAGAATCTTAAGAGGGTTGAGAGTCTCTAATTTTGTGGGCAATATGGAAATCTCTTAAGTTTTGGTGGCAGAGTGGAACTTTGAGAACATAACACTGGTGACATAGTGTAAAATGTCAATACATTTGACATCGACATTCCCCTTCTGTTTGCCCTAAATAGAAGGGGAAAAGAAGCCAGGAGGTGAGGAAATTAATTTAATACCCTAGGCAAAAGGATCAGAGAACCAGAACGCATGTGGAGGAAATTTTTTTTTTTTTTGAGGCAGAGTCTCGCTCTGTGGCCCAGGCTGGAGTGCAATGGTGCTGTCTTGGCTCACTCCAAGTTCCGCCTCCTGGGTTCCTGCCATTCTCCTGCCTCAGCCTCCGGAGTAGCTGGGACTACAGGTGCCCACCACCAGGCCCGGCTAATTTTTTTTGTATTTTTAGTAGAGATGGGGTTTCACCGTGTTAGCCAGGATGGTCTCGATCTCCTGACCTCGTGATCTGCCTGCCTCGGCCTCCCAAAGTGCTGGGATTACAGGCGTGAGCCACCGCCCCCGGCCGGAAGATTTTTAAAAAGATGATGATGATTACAGAAATGGAGATTAGTTCTCTTGCTAGAATATACTTGAAAAATACCAAAGGAGGAATCAAAGATAATGCCAAAGTTTTAGTCTAAAGTAGGGGTCAGCAAACTTTTCTATAAAGGGACCAAAAGTCAAAACTTTCAGCTTTGCTGGTCATAAGGTCTCTGTTGCAACTTCTTAAACTCTGCCACCTTAGTGCAAAAGCAGCCATAGACAATACTTACACGAATGGGCATCTAACATTAATAAAACTTTATTTACAAAAACAGGCAGCAGGCCATAGTTTGCTAATAGTTTGCTAATCCACAGCTTAAGAAAACAGAGAGAAAAAAAAAAAAGAAATAGTTGTTCCACTGGTTGTCAGAGCTGAGCACTGGGATAGAAGGTAATAAATTAACATAGGACACACTGAATCTGAGATTCTAGCAATGCCCATCAAATCTCTGAAATGCAAGTTGGCTGGCTGAGAATAAGTGAGGATAGATTTCAAAGTGATAGTTGATGACAGCGGATGCAGCAGTGTCAAAGTGTGAGAGAATCCAATTGAATATAAAACATTACAGTTTTATAGAGGTGTACAAACATTTCTATAGGATCAAAAATAATAGGTGAAAACAAAGAACCAATGATACTATGACAATAAAAACTGTGGTTAGCACTTACATAGCACTTAATCAGGGTAATAGCCATTATGTAATTAGTCATGCAGAATACTTGAAAACAGTACAGCCAATATATAACAACTCAGGGACAATGTTCTCGTGACATGAAATAGGCGAAAGCTTATTTTAAGGGAATAAGAACACCAAAAAATTCAAAGAAAAATTGAGGTGCATGATTAAGTAATTCACACACTATACCATTGATATGGTTTGGCTGTGTCCCCACCCAAATCTCATCTTGAATTGTAGTTCCCATAATACTCACATATCACGGGAGGAGCCCAGTGGGAGGTAACTGAATCATAGGAGTCGTTTCCCTCATGCTGTTCTCATGATAGTAAGTTCTGATGAGATCTGATGGTTTATAAGGGGCTTTCCCATTTGCTCAGCTCTCATTCTGCCTCCTGCTCCCCTGTAAAGAGGTGCCTTCTGCCATGATTGTAAGTTTCCTGAGGCTTTCCCAGCCATGCAGAACTGAGTCAATTAAACCTCTTTTTTTTAATAAATTACCCAGTCTCAGGTATGTCTTTATTTGTAGCATGAGAATGAACTAATACACCCATGTAACAAATCTGCACATGTACCCACTGAATCTAAAATAAAAGTTGAAATTAGTTTTTTAAAAAAAGAGAAGGTCGGATGCAGTGGCTCACGCCTGAAATCCCAGCACTTTGGGAGGCCAAGGCGGGTGGGTTGCCTAAGGTCAGGAGTTCGAGACCAGTCTGGCCAACGTGGTGAAACCCATCTCTACTAAAAATACAAAAAAATTAGCCGGGCATGGTGGCATGCACCTGTAATCCCAGCCACTCAGGAGGCTGAGGCAGGGAATTGCTTGAACCAGGGAGGTGGAGGTTGCAGTGAGCCAAGATCGCACCACTGCACTCCAGCTCAGGCAACACAGTGAGACTCCATCTCAAAAAAAAAAAAAAAAAAAAAAAAGAGGTGCAGCAACTTGCCCCTTTATCCCAGCTCTTTGGGAGGCCTAGGCAGGTGTATAGCTTGAGCCCAGGAAGGCGTTTGAGACCAGCCTGGGCAATGATGTGGAATTACATTGGCTTTGGGGAAAAAATTATTTCATTATTTTTTTAAATTTGGCTTTAAAATTCTAAGGCAGACCAGAACTATAATCTAAGCCGAAATCATAGCTGTCATGGAATATTAACACCATACTTTACAAGTCACCAAATAAAGTAGCAAAGTTTTAATGCAAATTCACACAGTATTTTTGTTCTCAACAGTACCTTCTTACAGCTTGTTCTTTTTGTCTGGTTAGCTTTGTTCAGGTTAATAAAAGCCTTAAAAAAATTTCCTTTAAAAATGTACCCAGCACAGACATATTTTTAAAAGCTTTTATCCTGCAAAATATGAATGGTGATAAGAATAATACCTGAAGAAAATTTAAAATAGTATTAATTTCCATTTCTTCACTTCAGATAGCCTTGAAATGCTAATATAAAAACAATATAAATTTAATATAATGGGTCATTTTTTCTTGAAACATATTTCTAAATAAAGAGAGGTACCCTTTTCTAGAGCATTAACTTGAGTAATATAGAAAACATAAAGAAGCTTTTCCCTCTTGTCTTCCAAAAACCAAATGGAAGAAACAATTTGTACAAAATCTTTTTCTTTCTTTCTTTTTTTTTTTTTTTTCAAGACAGAGTCTCGCTCTGATGCCCAGGTTGGAGTGCAGTGGCATAATCTCAGCTCCCTGCAACCTCTATCTCCCAGGTTCAATTGATTCTCCTGCCTCAGCCTCCTGAGTAGTTGGCACTACAGGCATGCACCACCACACCTGGCAAATTTTTGTATTTTTAGTAGAGACGGGGTTTCACCATGTTGGCCAGCCTGGTCTCAAACTCCTGACCTCAAGGGATCCACCCACCTCAGCCTCCCAAAGTGCTGGGATTACAGGCATGAGCCACCATGCCCGGCCTGTACAAAATCTTAAAATTCATAGCATAATAAAAAATACTTAAAGATGACAAAATATCATTCCCTTACTTCACAGATGAGAAGATTAAGATTTAAGAAGAGGCAATGATTGAGGCCTAAAGTCCCACAGTTTCCATAGTTAGTGCTGGAGCTGGCAGGAGCACCCAAGATCTCCAGATTCCATGAATACCATATTTCAAAAACCTTATTGCATTCAACAATCAGAACTCAGCTGTGTTGGCCAATCAAAACTAAGCAAGTTTCAATCCTTCATTTGCACAAATGGACCTGATTGGAAACCTGGGTGGGAACTTTTGTTATACAACTCAAGCCTCCTCTTCATTCTCTAGAATGCACCTTTGTTTTACACTAAAGGCTTCAAATAGCCGGGTGTCATGGTGCACTGGAATAAAGTCTGTTTCCTCCAAATCCCTTTTTCAGAGAACTTTTGTTCACAAGCATTTCATGTTTTCATTCTACAATTTGTTCATGTATCACATGCCAGACACAAGGAAAAATAAAGACACAAAGATAGTCACTGATCTAAAGTTCACAGTTTAGAGCGAGAAGGAAGAAATATGCTTTAGAAGCCAAGTTTTCATGTAAAAGGGAAGAATGGAAGAACAGAGATGTGGAGATGGCAAGGACAGCTGCAAGTAGCTGTGGGACAGTCATCATGCACCTTTATCAAGAGACCCAAGGATACCAACGTTATGCAGGAGAAGTGGTTTTCCCTGAAAGCATGACTCCATCACCCTGACTCCCACTGAGGTCCCTGAGGGAGAAGGTCAGGGGCACTGGGGCGGCTGGGCAGCTGAGACTAAGAGTCCTCCCCAGCCTACAGTGCCACCTGTTACTGTGTTTCCATCTGCTTTACAAGGGCAACAAGGGTCTGTGAAAGATTAGTTTAAATGTTTTGTAGCTTTATTTTAAGGGGAAGAAATGAGGATACGTATACAGACTTCTGTGAAGAGGTTAAGGGTCTTTAAAAACTTGGTTCATTATAGAAAGAGAAATTCAATGAGACACATACAAAAAGTTTGAAAAAGAAACTACATGGGAAAAATGAAGGGCGGAAAAGTAAACGATGGAGAAAAGTCAAAGGTGGTACCTGCAGAAATTAGAAAATGGTGACTGTGGTGCTCGCACAATGAGTAATGAATGAGAAGTACAGTAAAAATAAAACACGCATCAGAGGGGCTTAACTAGCCTTATGGCTCCAAAGTGAACCAAGTGCAGACAACGGGAATGATTCCTTAGACTTGTAAGAAGATACTTGTCAGCCAGGCATAGTGGCTCACGCCTGTAATCCTAGCACTTTGGGAGGCAGAGGCGGGCAGATCACTTGAGGTCAGGAATTTGAGACCAGCTTGGCCAACATGATGAAACCCGATCTCTACTAAAAATACCAAAAAAAAAAAAAAAATAGCCAGGTGTCATGGTGCACAGCTGCAATCCCAGCTACTCAGAAGGCTGAGGCAGGAGAATCGCTTGAACCCCGGAGGCAGAGGTTGCACTGAGCAAAATGGTGCCACTGCACTCCAGCCTGGGTGACAGAGTGAGACCCTGTCTCAACAACAACAAAAAAAAAAAAAAAAAAAAAAGAAAGAAAGAAAAGAAAAAGAAAAAAAGAAAAGGAAAAGGAGATGGTTCTCATAGCCAGGCAAGATGGTACACACCTGTAGTCCCAGGTACTCAGGAGGCTGAGGTGCAAGGAGAGTTTGAGCCCAGAAGGTCGAGGCTGCAGTGAGCTTCGACTGTGCCACTACACTCCAGCCTGGGGAGCAGAGCAAGACTCCATCTCAAAAAAATTTTTTTAATTAAAAAATAATGTTTAAAAAAAGAGAGAAGATGATGCTTCTGAGTCCTACCAGGCTGGCTGCTACAGGTCATCCTCCCTGGAAATCTTTCACCAGATGTCCTGGCAGCAAGGTAAGGGGAGAGATCTTGTCATCCTGGGAGGCTGGCTGCTGTTGGCTATGGTCTGATGGGGCTCCATGACAAACTGAATGGATGAGACTGGTTACTTATGAGTTCTGTGCCTGGGCCCATTTAACTCTAGGTAAACCTAAAAAATCAAATTCCTGAACCTGCCAAACTGAACCTTTCATACCCTGAAAATTACTGTCAACGCCTATTTATGTCACCTGATAGACAGCTTGTCTCTATGACACATGTTTCCACTTCTCTACAACTGAAACTCCAATCCTTCAAGATAATGAAGCATATATACTACCTAGCTTCTCAGGCTAGTGACTTAAAAGCTGTATCTAAAGTACTAAAGGCCGTAAGTTTGTTCTTTGATTTAAAAATTCAGCATCAAGTCATTTGTGCAAGTTAATCTCAGTCAACAGCAAGTCCATCCTTCCAGTTCTTCCCATAACTCTTAGAATTACTCTTAACTTCTCTCACACTCAATCCATCAGCAAATCCCACTCAGAAATATACCATGTTTCAACATACCTCAGAAATATGTCCAGGTTTAAGCCACTTATCACCATCCCCACAGCTACCACCATGGTCTAAGCCAGTAACACTTTTTCCCTGCTGCCTTCCATCTTCATTCCCTTAGACTTTGGTCTCAACACAGCAGTGGTCATTTTAAAACAGAAGCCAGAACATGGTACTCTTCTCCTGAAAATCGTTTCATATATCATCATCTCACAAGGACTAATAGTTCATAAGAATGGCCTACGAAGCTCTAACTACCTGGGCAGTCCTCCCTTCTGCGTTCCTTCCCTTATCTTCTCCTACTCTTTCCTCATTCACTCTGTTTCAGCCACAGAGGCCTTCTGAGTGTTCCTGAAAAAAAGTCATGCATGCACTTGACATTAAGCCATGGCACTTGCTGTTTCTCCACTGATACATTCTTGGCCCAGATGTCCACATGGCTCACTTTCCTTCATCTGCCTCAACTTTGCTCACATCGCCCTCTCATCTGCTTAAAACTCTTATACTCCACAGCAACACCACTGGCTGCTTCCCTGCTTTATTTCTCCTTCTCTCTTTTTTTTTTTTTTTTTTGAGACGGAGTCTTGCTTCTTAGCCCCAGCTGGAGTGCAGTGGTGTGATCTCAGCTCACTGCAACCTCCACCTCCCGGGTTCAAGCAATTCCCTGCCTCAGCCTCCCGAGTAGCTGGGATTACAGGCACGTGCCACCACACCCAGCTAATTTTTGTATTTTTAGTAGAGACGGGGTTTTACCATGTTGGCCAGGCTGGTCTCAAACCCCTGACATCAAGTGATCTGCCCGCCTCGGCCTCCCAAAGTGCTGGGATTACAGACATGAGCCACCACACCTGGCCTATTTCTTTTTCACAGTACTTCTCACCTGTTCCTCTACCATGTAATCTCTTTCTTTCTTTCTTTCTTTTCTTTTTCTTTCCTTCCTTCCTTCTTTCTTTTCTTTCCTTTCTTTCTTTTCTTTCTCTTTCTTTCTTCCTTTCTTTTCTTTCTTTCTCTTTCTTCCTTTCTTCCTTTTTTTTCGGGTCGGGCTCCATCTATCTATCTTTCTTTCTTTTCGGGTCTGGCTTCTTTCTTTCTTTTCTTTTCTTTCTCTTTCTTTCTTTTTTTTTCAGGGTGTGGCTCCATCTCAGCTCACTGAAACCTCCACCTCCCAGGTTCAAGTGATTCTCCTGCCTCAGCCTCCCAAGTAGCTAGGACTACAGGCACACGCCACCATGCCCCAGATACTTTTTGATTTTTGTTGTTTTTGTTTTTTAGACACAGGGTTTTGCCCAGCCTGGTCTCAAACTCCTGAGCTCAAGTGATCTGTCCATCTCGGCATCCCAAAGTGCTGGGATTACAGGCATGAGCCACTGTGCCAGGCCAATGTAATTTTCTTATTTAACCTTTTAATAGTCTGTCTCCAACCACCTCCTTCCTCCAGAGCATGAATGTCATAAAGATGGGGATTTTGGCGTATTTTAGTCCACAAGCATGCTACCAGGCTTAGAGTATGCCTGGCACATTGTAGCAGCAAAAAGGAAACAGGAGAGAACTAAAAGTACAACCACGAGGAGTAGCTAACATGAATCACGGCATAGGCACAAAAAGGAACCTTACGGTCATTTGAGAAGCAGGGTAGTAAAATAGTTAGCACCCAGACTTAAGCCAGGCTGCCTGGGTTCTAACACTGGCTCTGCTATTTACTAACTATATAACCATAGGGGAATTACTTAACCTCTCTCTGCTTCAGCGTCTTTACCTGTAATAGAATTTCCTACCTCATGAGGTTGTCGTGAGGGTTAAATGTTAATATGTGAAAGCACTTTAAAAGTGCTGCCACGCAGTAAGTACTTTATAAACTGAGAATTATAGAGATCTACAAGTGCTGACAAGGAAATGTGTCCACAATATATGGTTACACGAAAGTAGCAAGTTATAGAACAGGATGTAAACTATGTCCAATTTTTATAAAGAGGGTACATGCATAGAAAAACCTGTGAAAGAAAATACTCCGAATTGTAAATAACTACTTTTGTTGGATAAGACATTAAGAAAAAAAAGAAGAAACTCTCAAAGCCTGACACCAAAACAGAGCAAGAGGAAAGAGTTCCCCAGCAGCTGTGGGAAGGCTGCATCCTGACAAGCTCCTTAGAAGGCATCATCCCAAGATTAAGACTAATCTAAGGGGACAGATGTCATAAAGAGTACCTCCCTAACTACCTGCCTAACTTGCTTTATGTAACCTCAAAGAGTTCCCCAACATTAGGGGAGTTTCTCTTGGATAGGAAGGTTGCCTGTTTGAATGGATTTTTACCCAACTGGTCAATATTTTCTACAATATCCCTGATAAGTGATCA
This sequence comes from Homo sapiens, assembly GCF_000001405.40. Taxonomy (NCBI): domain Eukaryota; kingdom Metazoa; phylum Chordata; class Mammalia; order Primates; family Hominidae; genus Homo; species Homo sapiens. The sequence continues at coordinate 20,729,062 of NC_000006.12, read as the reverse complement.
TGTGGCTTCTGCTTCATTTCATCAGATGTAGGGAGTTCATTACTTTAACACTTCCTGTTTAATCACAAATGCCATATGTTATTATTATAAAACTTTAATTCATATACCTTTCACCTATTCATCCAAATTTGCCCTTTTAATGTCAAAAAACTGAACTACATCCCAAATCATTTTTGGTCAAAAAAAATAAAAAAAGAAAGAAAAGAAAAGAAAAAAGAGTAAGCATTCTAATAAAAATGTTTCCACAACGTGTTTACCTTTCTTATTATAGAGAATATAGCGAATCTAAGTGACTTGGTAAGGTGACTGCCTCAGATAATCGGAGTACATGTAGAATTTCAAATTTTTAAAAGACATCAAAAGCTTTCTAGCCCTGTCATTTCGTTTTATGAAAGAGGAAACTGAGGACCAGAAAGATTAAATGGCTTGTCCAAGATCAAAGTAAAGACAGTGTCATTACTGGAAATCATCTATCACTGTCCTTTGCTTCAATATAATAATGCCCTAAGCTAGGGGTTACCAAGCTCCATCAAGCTGTGTGGCCCCATAATAAATAATCTCAATAAGCCATACATATTCACTCTTCTTTTTCTTTTGTGGGTGTCACCTATTACTTCTCAATATGTCAATTTCTAACTTATCTACTCAATCTACCATCACCATTTCTAACTGCTATGTAATGAATCCATAAAAATTTCTGGAGTAAACGATGAAAATCAACAACTTCCTTTTATATATGATTTTTGAAATTCATTAATGAATATTTATTTTGTGCCTATCGTGCATACAATATAAGCTTAGATACCTGTCAGATACCAAGAGGAATTTTTGCTTCAAAGAACACACATGAAGTTGGAAAGACCACCCTCCACTGAAATATACAAATTATACAGAAATACACATGAACACTTAAATAAAAGGTTAGGACATTATTTGTACATTAATAAACACAAATAAGTTCACAGACCAGTGGCCACTAGACATTTTATGAAGGCACTCACCAGTGAAAACAAAAGCAAAGAACAGAAAAGCTCTCATGTACCCCAAATACATGCAACTACATATAAAATATATACATGCAGTACTACAGTACTATATTGCACACACTATAAAACTGCCTTGAAATTAGAATATTTTTAAGTGAAAAACAGCAAAAGAAAATTAATGTTCTGAGTTCAAATAGGACAGAACTCATTGCAGGTCCAAATACGGCCCTTATAAAGTCTGGTGTAGTATTATCAGTCACCTCAAAACTCATTTCCTCATGGAAGGGGACAAGAATATACCATCCAAAAATATGCCACTATAGCATAAGAACTATTTTCAGCTGAAAGCATTTAAGAAAAAGCAGACACAGAAAAAAATCTCCCTGTCCTTCCCCATCTTACTAAAAACAGCACATAAAGTTCCATTTGTAAAGGTGTCTCCCTCTCCAGTATCAGGAAGAGAACTACTCTGAAGACAACTCTTGGCACCTGAAAAGACTCTAGTTTGCATTTTAAAAAACCTTACAAATGACCCTTATTTACTGTACCCTTTTTAGTCCCTTTCCCACAACTTACCCCCCTCAAGAAGCCCCAAACCTTTTCTTCTTTGTCTAACAAGACTCTTCTCTGTATTTCATTCCCTTTGTTAAGATGGGATATAAGCCCCAAATTCTAACTGTGTCCTTAAGTCACATTCATTTGTTAAACCCTGTATATCCATATGTAGTTATATGTATGTTTTTATTCCTGTTAATCTGTCCTTTATCATTTTGATTCATAGACCCCAGCTACTGAGCCTAAGAGGGTAGTGGAAGAGCTTTTTTCCTCCTGTGACCTGCAAGATCAAAATGATGCCCCTTAATCAACTAAGACAGACCCTAAAGTTAAGGAAACAGTTACCTGTGGGTCAAGGGTTCAGGGCCTGGCTGGCATGGCATTTTTCTAAATTCCTATGGCTATAAGAGTAACCACCCTCTTGTTTAACTCCTTAACAATAGGAGCTATCAGGCAAATTTTCAGAACTGATTTACAACCCAGGCCACTTGATTAGACAGATGATGGGCCTTATAAACATTCTTTTCCGATAAGCTACTGGAGACCAGAAACCAGTTTCAGCTAGTTTATAGGGGCTGCACAAAGTCTTTGTGTGCTTTTGTTCACCTTTTGATATAGATAGTGAAATTCCATCTCATTTTAATGCTAAAACCCCACCACAAAGTGAATATGGGGTATATGTTACATAAATGTTTACTCATTGTGCTTGTACTCAGCTCTCCTCATAAATATGTAGCTTTTCCCCCAAACCTGCTGAATATATATGACTCCACTGTGTAATACAGAACTGGTGAGGCATAAAACCCAGTCTGTCCTTTTCCTCTTCAAAGAGAGAGCACCTTCAGTCTATGCTGGAGACTTCCTCTTCCCAGCTTACAAACCAGTATCACCAATAAAAGTTCTCCTTTCTACTGTTTAGCCATCCTGGGAGTCTTTGGGATGTCACTTCCCTGTAACATGAAATTTAAGGTTCAATGGTATTTTTGTGTTGTCAACAAAAAGAGTAAAACTCTAAAATATTTAAAGAAGTTTATAATGCGCTCAATATGAGTGACCATGGCTCCAGGCACAGTCTCAAGAGGTCCTGAGAACATCTGCCCAAGGTCGCTTGGTTACAGTTTGATTGTATATGTTTTAGGGAAACAAAAGGCATCAGTCAGTACATGTGAGGTATATACTGGATTGGTGCAGAAAAGTAGGATATATGGAGAACAGGTGGGGGGAGGGTCACACAGGTCATAGCTGGATTCCAAGATTTTCTGATTGGCAATTGGTCAAAAGAGTTATTATCTAAGACCTGGAATCAATAGAACTGTCTGGGGGGTTGTGGAGACCAAGGTTATTCTGCAGATGAGGTCTTATAGGTGGCCACCCTTAGAGACAAATAAATGGCAAATGTCTCCTATCCAAACCTTTAAAAGGTGATAGACTCTCAGATGCAAATACTCCCCCCTATAAAAGATGGCTTTGCAGGGCCATTTTAAGATATGGAAGAAAAAAAAACGTATTTTAGGGTAAAATATTTTGATTTTTCTTATCTGTTATGTGATATTATGCCAGAGTCAGGTTGAAAAGTAAGGCATATTATATAGGGTTAAATAAAACCCACCTGATGAAATTTATATGGTTTGTAGGGTGTGACACCCTAGATCCCTTAGATAAGAATTTGGGCAAGAGAGAAAAAAGGTTAGAGTTTAGTCCTCAGTGTAACTTTTTCTTTTTTTTTTTTTTTTTTTTTAGACGGAGTTTCACTCTTGTTGCCCAGGCTGCAGCACAATGGCATGATCTCAGCTGACCGCAACCTCGGTCTCCCAGATTCAAGTGATTCTCCTGCCTCAGCCTCCCGCATAGCTGGGATTACAGGCATGTGCCACCACGCCCGGCTAATTTTGTATTTTTAGTAGAGACAGGGTTTCTCCATGTTGGTCAGGCTGGTCTTGAACTCCTGACCTCAGGTGATCCGCCTGCCTCAGCCTCCCACAGTGCTGGGATTACAGGCATAAGCCACCATGCCCAGCTAGTCTTCAGTGTAACATTAAGAACCAAAGGAAAGTCAGATGAGTGAGGCTTACGGAAGTCAGACCACTGCATATACGCCTCACTGCATTCAAAACTCACCTTGCACAGCATGCAGCATCTGAATCAATTATTTCCTTCTTGTTAAGCAAGGTAAAGTGCTCCATTCTTAAAGGGATTAACAAAAGTAACCTCAAGTATATGGCATATATTCTATATTCCTATTATGAAGAATAGCCTCTCATAAAATGAAAAAACAAATCTATAATTAGTTCACCTCCCCTAAGATCAATATCCTGATACTCTACTCACACCAACACTGTAGAAGTTAGTATCTTTCAACAAGGGGAGAAAGAGAGAAAAGAAAAAGGCGGGGGTGGGGAGGAAACTCCAGAATATATCAGTATATCCGAAGACCTTAATAAAGTGACACTGAGAAGAGAAGCCCTGATCAGCTGTTACATTTAGTGAATTCACCATCCAATTTGCAAATCTCATTGCACTTTACCCTAATTATCACATTCGCCAAGAATGACTAAAATTAAATGAGGACATGCATCTACATTCTGGGGTAGGGAAGGAAGAAATTTACATTCTGGTTCCTACTAAAAATTTAATTAAAGGGATAAGGTTTATGAGATACTTATATTTTCTAGCTTAGTGTTAAAAAGTCCTGAAGGAAAATGCATACTTGGGCTTATTTCTAGCTCCATCTACCTGAATGCTATGAGAGCTGTAGTACTATGAGATCCCAATCTGATTTCAGGTGGAAGACACAGCCAAATGAATTTGTTTGTTTGTTTGTTTGAGGCAGGGTCTCACTGTTTCAGACAGGCTGGAATGCAGGGTCATGATCCTGGCTCACTGCAACCTCCGCCCCCCAGGCTCAGCCTCCTGAGTAGCTGGGACTACAGGCACGCACCTCCACTCTCAGCTTTTTTTTTCTTTTTTAAGTAGAGACGGGTTTCACCATGTTGCCTACACTGTTCTGGATCTCCTAAACTCAAGCCATCTGTCCTCCTTGGCCTCCCAAAGTGCTGGGATTACAGGTATAAGCCACTGTACCTGGTCTCAAATTTAGAATTGGCCATGTAATCAGAATTAAACTTTGTTTTAACCTCATAAAAGGTTATCAAACAAAATTTTACAAAGTCTTTTTACATCTTTTATCAAAGTCCATTTTCAAAAAGAAAAGGTATTAATGTAAAAGCTACTCCCTTGCAGGGAGTAACAAAAATGCCCTTTGTTATTCAAAATAATACAAAAGTGGCTGGAGGTGGTGGTTCATGCCTGTAATCCCAGCACTTTGGGAGGCCAAGGCGGGCAGATCACTTGAGGTCAGGAGTTCGAGACCAGCCTGGCCAACATGGTGAAACACCATCTCTACCAAAAAATACAAAAAAAAAGTATCCAGGTGTGGTGGCACATGCTTGTACTCCCAGCTACTCGGGAGGCTGAGGTGGGAAAATCACTTAAACCCAGTAGGCGGAGGTTACACTGAGTCAAGATCATACCACTGCACTCCAGCCTGAGCGACAGAGTAAGACCCTGTCTCAAAAACAACAGCAAAAACAGTGGCAAAGCAAGAGCCACTTGAGTCCTGGGAAAGATAAGAATCTGGAATGGTGTCTCCTTAGCAAATTTACATAGTCACAAAATTCCCCAACCTCTGAACAGAGGCAAAAGAAGAAATGAACTTCCTTCAAAGCTACCTCAACTGGGCTTCAGCAAGTTGTAATTCTGCATAATCAAAAAGTTCCACTAAAGGGGCAAGAGGCAGAGACTAACAGTATTTTAGGACACTTAAAAAAACTCATTTTTCTTTCTGTTCCAATAGCACTCCTATAAACATGGTGAACATTCCTAAAAACCATCAAACTTTCTGTAACGCGTGTGGCAAGCACCAACCCTACAAAATGACACAGTGCAAGAAGAGCAAGTAATGCAGGATTTTTGTCGGCCCCTTTGCCGGACTCCCAGCAGGGGTGCCCCCTCTACTCGGCCTGCCACACTCAACCCCTTGTGGAGGGAACACATGAGCGAGCAAGTGCAGGACCTGGCCAGTTGCTCCAGATGCCGACACAGGAGCAAGCTCCGCGCAGGGCCCACAGCCAGACCAGGCATGTCGCCTCAAGGGGAACACAGCTGCACCCAGGTGAGGATGCCCATGACCCCAAAGCCCCAGAGGGGGTGATACAGTGCTTCTTTAGTTCTGCCATCCGCAGACAGCGTGTGTTAGCAGCTCAGCTGGCCCTTGAGGTGGCATCCAGGTGAGGGTGCCCACGACCCTGAAGCCCCAGAGTGGGTGTTACAGTGCTCCTTTAGTTCCACTGTCCACGGACAGTGGTGGGTTAACAGCTCAGTTGGCCCCTTGCCTCATCACATGGGGCAGCTGCCCTCCACTGGAAAGGGCAAAGGGCTTGTGTGGCAGCCTTTCTGGGTACCTGCAGTTGATGGGTCCCAAGCTCTTGTCCAGCATCCAAGAAGAATGAGGTCACATGGATAGCTGAAGGATGGTGAAGATGGAAAATTTTATTGAGCAATGAAAACAGCTCTCAGCAGAAAGTGGAGGTGGAGAGGGGATGGGAAGCGCAGGTCATCTTCCCCAAAGTCAGGTTGTCTCTACCCCGATGTCAGGCTGGCTGTCTGGCTGTCTGTCTCTCTCTCCTCTCTCTCCCAACTGAGTCTGGGGTCTTTATAGGCACAGGATGGGGGCAGGGCAGCCCATAGGTAGTTTTGGAAAAGGCAACATTCAATTGGTAAAAAGGCATTAATCAGAAAGAACCAACCAGAAGAGAGTGGGCAAACAGGAACAGAAGTTCTCACTTTGGGCTGCGGGTTTCAGGCTGTTTTTTTGGTTTTGTTTTTGATGGTGAGGTTTCACCAGGGTCCGGCCCCTGTCTGTCTACAATTTCTCTGCCTCCTGCCTCTACTACAAGGATTCTATGTGTGCCCAGGGTAAGCAGCATTATGACAGGAAGCAGAGTGGCTATGGTGGGCATACTAAACCCATTTTCTGGAATTCTGTAAAAAGGCTACTGCCAAAAAGAAGACTGTGATGAGGCTTCAGTGCTTTGAGCCCAGTTGCAAATCTAAGAGAATGCTGCCTATTAAGAGAAGCAAGCATTTTGAACCGGGAGGAGAAAAGAAGAGAAAGAGCCAAATTAACTAGTTCTAAGCATCATCTTTTATTATGAAGACAATAAAATCTTGAGGGAAGGTTCAGTGGGGAAAAAAAAAAACCCTCATTTTTAACATGCTTGTCTTGAACTATTTCAGAACGTATTATGGTCCCAAATTATCCGTGTTGTTTTCACAGCAAATGAAAGCTGACCTTCATAATTAAAGATGGAAAAATGATAATTTGAGTCCCCTGCCTTCACAGGAGTTGGCTTCCAGAGTAACCTGCAAGTAAGTTGAGGCCACAAGTATGGCTCTCAATATAAAAGTAGTTCTACATAAAATAACAAAATCGGGCCAGGCACGGTGGCTCACGCCTGTAATCCCAGCATTTTGGGAGGCCAAGGGGGGAGGATCATGAGGTCAGGAGTTTGAGACCAGTCTGGCCAAAATAGTGAAATCCCATCTCTACTAAAAATGCAAAAATTAGCCAGGTGTGGTGGCACAAGCCTGTAGTCCCAGCTACTCGGGAGGCTGAGGCAGGAGAATTGTTTGAACCCAGGAGGCGGAGGTTGCAGTGAGCTGATACCATGCCATTGCACTCTAGCCTGGGTGACAGAGTAAGACTCTGTCTCAAAAAAAAAAAAAAAAAAAAAAAAACAGAAGTTGGTCAGGGTGCAGAGAAGAAGGAATGCTTACGCACTGTTGGTGGGAATGTAAACTAGTACAGACACTATGGAAAATAGTATGGAGATTGCTCAAAAAACTAAAAATAAGATTACCATTTGTCCAGCAATCCCACTACTGGGTATCTACCCAAAGGAAAAGAAATCAACATATTAAAGGGCTACCTGCACTTACATATTTATTGTAGCACTAATTACAATAGCAAAGACATAGAATCAACCTAAGTGTCCATCAATGGATAAAGAAAATGTGGTATATATACCTAACGGAATACTATTTGGCCATAAAAAGAATGAAATAATGTCATTTGCCTTGGAACCAACCCAAATGTCCATCAATGATAGACGGGATTTAAAAAATGTGGCACATAAAAGCCATGGAATACTATGCAGCCATAAAAAAGGATGAGTTCATGTCCTTTGTAGGGACATGGATGAAGCTGCAAACCATCATTCTTAGCAAACTATCTCAAGGACAGAAAACCAAACACCACATGTTCTCACTTATAGGTGGGAATTTAACAATGAGAACACTTGGACACAGGGTGGGGAACACCACACACCGGGGCCTGTTGTGGGGTAGGGGGAGGGGGGTGGGATAGCACTAGGAGATATACCTAATGTAAATGACCAGTTAACGGGTGCAGCATACCAACATGGCACACGTATACATATGTAACAAACCTGCACGTTGTGCACATGTACCCTAGAACTTAAAGTATAATAAAAATAAATAAATACATAAAAAGAACAAAAAGAAATAATGTCATTTGCAGCAATATGGATGGAACTGGAGGTCATTATCTCAAGTGAAATAAGGCAGGCACAAAAAGACAAATATCACATATCCTCACTTACATGTGGGAGTTAAAAAATGTGATCACACAGAAGTAGAGAATAGAGGCCAGTGCGAGGGCTCACGCCTGAAATCTAGCACTTTGGGAGGCAGAGGTGGGCAGATCACTTGAGGTCAGGAGTTTGAGACCAGCCTGGCCAACATGGTGAAACCCTGTCTCTACTAAAAATACAAAAATTAGCCAGGCCTGGTGGCGTATGCCTGTAATCATAGGGAGGCTGAGGCAGGAGAATTGCTTGAGCCCAGGAGGTAAAGGTTGCCGTGAGCCGAGATCACACCACTGCACTCTAGCCTGGGCTACAAAAAAGAAGTAGAGAGTAAAGAAAGACAGATAACAGAGGCTGGGAAGGGTGACTGGGGAGAAGGAATGATGAAGAAAGGTGGCTTAAAGGGTAAGAACACAGAAGGAATAAATTCAATATTTGATAGCAGAGTAGGAAGGCTACAGTTAACAAACATGTGCTGTACGTGGGTGGTGGACACCCTAAACACTCTGACTTGTTTACTATGCATTACACACATGTAACTAAATTTCTCATGCACCCCACAAATTTGTGCAAATTTTTTTTTAAAGAAAAAGGTAGACAAACAAAAAATGCCTATATATGGGCCTGTATCCATTAGCATTGCAACCAGGAAAGCAGAACAGTGCCACCAAATGACTTAAAGCCACCACAGGGCCCAAAACCACATCAAGAAGACCAGTAACTTCCCTATGCCATAAGGAAGCCAATCCCATGAGGAAGCCAATCCTCAGAGAACCATGATCTTGTCACCTTTGAATATGCAATCACCAAAATCCAGACTACGGAAAGGCTACAGGTCAAAAGGCCCAGGTTCTTCAACAGGTAAACTGTAAGGAATAGAAAGAAATGGAGGGGAGCCTGTAGATTAAGAAAGATTTAAAATACGTACCAGGCTTTTTAAAATGAGCAAGATTTAACTTTATTATCTAAGCACAAGCAGGGGAAAAAGCCATAAGGAAACATAAAGAAGTGGGCATTATAAAAGTCAGGAGAGTGGTTACTTGTTGAGGTAGAGAGAGATCTGTGAGTTTCATGGGGAACATAAAAGGGTTTTCCAGAGTGGCTGGCAATGTTTCATTTCTTGAGCTAGTGGTAAGAGCTACAGGGTATCTTACTTAATTCGCTAAACTATACATTTCTGTGTGGTTTTTAAATTTTTTATTGTATTTTACAATAGAGGTTAAACATAAAATATTTTAATTAAAAATACTCTAAAATTAAATAACCTGAGATTTCCCAGCCCTCAAAAAGAAGAAGAGAAATAAAACCATGGTAGCTGTCTCTAAAGTCTTTTCAACCTTCCTATGTATCTCAGAACCCACATGAAAGTGGTTTTAACCCATGGCATATAAATACTATGTCACAGTTAGCTGGAAAAATTCCTATGTACACTCGTATTAGTAGAAACAAAACTGTATTTGGTCCTCTGACCATCCTTATCAGAAGTAACTAGGATGACACTAAAAAGACCAAATAATTCAGAATTACTATTAAAGAGCTTTCAAAGAGAGCACAACTCAAAGAACCTGTTTGTTTTCTATATTTTGTGGTAATGAGTTAAAACCATTGAGAAGACTGAGGCAAATTAAATGCACAAAGTGTACACAGAACTCATCTGCCCATCCTCCTCCTCTACTGTGGCTGGGTAACTTCACTCTTCTCTTTCTGAGAACACAACTGTAAACTTTAAAAGGCAGGATGGTTCAGGAAGGAAAACCCTACACACTGACTGTCCAGAGACCTCAACTTGAACCCGGACTCTGCCATGAACTGACAGAAAGACAAATCTTCTTCTCTGAGTCTTCATTTTCTCACAAGTTACATGAAAATGGTTTAAAAAGATGAACCCTAAGGTTTCTTCCAGGACTAAAAATCTATTATTGTGATGGGAAATATTTGCCCCTAGAGGTAGGATTAAGAAGAAATACCACAGTAGTAGATGACGTCATTAGACATTTTTTCTTTTCCAAATAGTAAGAAGTTTTTTTTAATTATAAAAAAAGTAAAAATATTTTTGAACACTCTCCCAAAAGCTGCAATCTGCACTCAATTTTTACACCTTGCTAATAGAAGATGCTAATCTCCAGCAGAATTGAAAATTAGCAAAGAAAAACATAAGAACAAGGTTCATTTTATCATCTTAAATTCAAGCTTTTTCTACCAGCTTTCATATATCCATTTGTAAAAATGTGATAAGAGGGAAGCTTGTGGTTTTAAAAAGTTAGAAGAATAATAAACTATTTGAAAACAGGCAATATATTCAGCTTCTTTTCTTTCACCCCCAGTTTGTAGTATGCAAATTTGAACTCCATATATCAAAACCCTAAACAGTACTCAAGTCACTACACTAAGCCCCTAACAGAAGAAATAAAACAAGAAATGGATGCCTCTGTAAGATGAAAAACAAGAGTTTAAGGGGTGGTCCTAGGGAACTGTCAATGTCTTCTAGAGAATAACAAAATTATCACCATGACAATAGGATTTCTCTTTTTGTACTGTTTAGGCTTTTCCAGAACAATTTTCACATGCATCATAAGCTGCCTGATGAAGAACCCATGAGTGGGAAGTATTACTCCACAAATGAGGAAAATATGGTTCAGGGAAATGAACTGGAAAATGGAATACAAGATTGAGAGATGAATTAACGTTGGTCTCTACTACTTACAGCTAAGAGGGGCACTTGGAGTCCTCAAAGAAAACAGAATGATGTATATAATCTCTACCTGCTAAAGGGTGGCACTTCACTTTAAAACCTGAACAAAAAGAACATCTCAACTCAGTCATCTGTGTTAGAGTGGCCACTAGGATTTCACAAGCCTGGGACAGTTCACTGTGCAAGGGATTATGCTCAACAACTCTCAAGACCTGGAGGCTGCAGAACAGCTGAATGAGCACACTGAACTAAATGAAACCATCCTTTCTCCTTCTCTACTGTGCCTGATGAAAAATTAGAGAACCAGAAGAGGGAGAAGGCAAAAAAACACAAGGTTTCTAGATTTCAAATTCCCCATATACAAAAAAGGTGGTGAGGGCTCCTGACTTATGCCCTATGTGGCCCAGGGAAACTCAACTCTACCTGTTTAAAGAAAACATATTCAGACATATATTGCTAACCACAATAACAACCAAAAAGCAACAGCTAAGTGAAGAATACATTTATAAAGTAGTATTTTTAAAATAAAATATTTTATATTGCTCTAATAAGGCCTTCCCCATTAAGGGTCTCAGCAAATTACCTGCCTTCTGACTTCACTGAGAAAACAGAAACAAGAAGAAGGAACCGCTGTTTCATTACACCATCATATCTATCAAACTACCTGTTCTGTATCAACATATTAGTTTTCCCACCTGTTACAATAGATCAGCTGTCCTCACTCCCCAGTAAGCCTGATGCTTCTGCTTGTGTGCTAGATCCTAGCCTTTCTGTCATACTTTGGTCCTGTAAATTATCCTTTTCCCTTCTACAAAGCTTTTTTCCTCTATAATGGATCAGACTCAATAGCATAAATATACGCATGTATTTTGTATTAAAAATACAAAATAAAAACTCTCCCTTGATTCTACATCTTCCCAACCCCTGCCAAGCTCTAGCTCCATTTCTGCTTCCCTTTATAGCAAACCTCCCCTAAAATGCAATAAGTACTTTATCTCACTTCCTTGGCTCTCATTCTGTTTAAAACCCACTCAAATCAGTCTTGTGTGTCCACCTCTCCACTGAAACTGCTCATCAGAACAACCACCAGTTCCCTATTGACAAATCCAGTAAGTCAATCTTCAGTCTTCATCTAACTCAATTTCTCAGCAACACTTACACAGCTGATCACTCCTCCTTCTGGAAACATGCTTCACTAAAACACTTCCCCCGACTTCCTCCACCTCTACTGATCAGTGCTCCTCAACCTCCTGAGCACATTCTTAGTCCTTGGTTCTCTCTTCTCTGCCTTCCCACATTCTCTGGGTGATCTTCTGCAGTCCCATGGATTTACACACCATCTACAGCACATGATTCCCAAATTTATATGCCAAACTCCAGCCTCATACATATAACATATCAACTCAGGTATCTAGTAAATGCCTCAAATCAAGTATACAAACCAACAAATTCTTCTTGACTTCTCATTCCCACACCCATCCCACCCCAAACAAAACAAACAGAAAAACTCCTCTTCTGTTCTTTCTCATCTCAGATAAATGGTACCAACATATGCCCAGTACTCAACCCAGACCCAACCAAACCAAAACAAAATGAAACAAGCAGTTACCCGATTGCTCTCTTCTTTTCATTTGCACAATCTACCTCCAAGGCTACCTTCAAGACAGAATTCAAATCCAAGCCCTTCTCATCTCCACTGGCACCACACTCATCCAAGCCACATCATCTCTTGCTGTACTTTCTGTCCAACAGCAGGATAATTTTAAAAAATCTCATTCCCCAGCTCTTCACAAACTTCTGCTCTGCCACAGCATTCAAGTCTCTGTTCAAATATCACCTCTTTCAAATGGTTTCCCTGACCATATTATATAAAATAGGCCCCATTTGACCTCATCACTCCTTTTTACTTTATGCTGCATGCTTATTATCAAGCCTATCAAACCTGAAATCCTGTTTTTATTTTGAAAATATTTAGTTAGTTCCTATCTCCCCAATCCCCACAAGGCTGAGAAACTCTCTTATTCATCACAGTGTGCACCAAACCAGAACAGTGCTTAGCTTACTGCAAGTGCCAAATAACTCTTTATCAAATGCCTGAGATTCTATCAAATCCTTTTCCCTTCAAATGTCATATCCCATGAGCACGCACTAGCTGTCTCTCACCTTCTCATTCGTCTTCTTACCTAAGTTGAGAAAAACTAAAATTACAAGTGAAATAGTAAAATAAATCCATATCAGAAAATAAACCCACAACAAAATGGTAAATTCTATCCCAGATCCAATTTTTTCAAAACGAAGTTTTCATTAATGCTTTTGTTTATTACTAAAGCAATACATGCAACCTAGAGGAGAAAAGTCAGGAAATACTGACTAGGAAAAATAAGAATATTTTAAATATATTTTCAGAATATCCTACATAGCTGTTATCAAAAAGACAAAAGATAACAAGCATTGATGAAAGCGTGGTGGAAAGAGAACCCTTGTGCACTGTTGGAAGGAATGTAGATTGGTACAAACCACTATGGAAAACAGTACGGAGGTGCCCACAGAAATTAAAAATAGAACTACCATATGACCCAGCAATCTACCTTCTGGGCATATACCCCAAAAAGATGAAATCACCACTTCATAAAAGATCTCTGCACTTCCATGTTCATTGCAGCATTATTCACAATAGCCAAGAAATGGAAACAACTTAAGTGTCTATGGACAGACAAATGGATAGAGTAAATGTGGTGAATACATACAACAGACTATTATTCAGTCTTTAAGAAGGAGAAGATCCCGTCATGGATGGGCCTGAAGGATATTAGGCTATGTAAAATAAGCCAGACACAGAAAGAAAAATATTGCATCATCTCACTTAAATCTGGAATCTTTTTTAAAAAGGTGGGGGGAGGGTTGGCAAATATAATACATAAAGGATAAAACAGTGATTCTGGCAGAAGTGGGAGAAAATAGGGAGATGTAGGTCAAAGGATACAAAGCAGCAAACACAACAGGATGAACAAGTTGAAAGATGCAATGTATAACATAAGGACTATAGTTAATAATGTTGTATTATATTCAGAATTTTTGCTAAATGAGTAGATTATAACTGCTCTTGCCACAGGCAGGGAAAAATGAATAATTGTAAGATGATGATCTTAATTTGTTCCACTATAATAATATTTTTACTATATATGTGTCTGATCACGTATCTTAAATTTATACAATAAAATTTATTTTTTAAATAAAACAAGGCTGCTAGTCACAAAATAAAAACAGTTTAACAAATTCATAGCATGATGCAAAGTGATTTCCTCACCTTCAGAAGTATCCCTAATTCTTCAGATGTAGAGGTTATACTCTATAAACTCTTATGTATGCCAAGTGTTTTATTTTAATATACAAGTTTAAAATATTAGTTAAGTTAAAATTCTAGACTGGAAAACATTAGTTAACATTGGGTAATAAAGAAGCAGCAAAAGTCTGCCAATTTTCATTTCAGTGAAAAAAGAAAAAATGTCACCCATATCAGGTGAATGGCTCAGGCTAGTGAACAAGAATAGACAATAATACAGTTTGGACAACATTGGAAGACCCAGTCTCTACAAATAATAAAAAATTTAGCCAGGCATGGTGGGTGCGCACCTGTAGTGTCAGCTACTTGGGAGGCTGAAGTGGGAGGATCACTTGAGCCTGGGAAATCAAGGCTGCAGTGAACTATGATTGTACCACTACACTCCAGTCTGGGTGACAGAGTGAGATTCTGTCTCAAAAAAAAAAAAAAAAAAAAAAAAAAAAGAACAGACAATAGTATCATTAATATTAACAAAAGCATTGAATTTGGGACATCATTGATTACGACAAACACTTAACATGCAAAAAATTTAATAAAAAATATTTTAATATTAAAAATAAGAGACTAGCATAGCTAATAGCCTTAGACTATTATCTTCTGGATCAACTGAACATTATGAGAATTTTTTGTATCATAGTACTTTGTTTTTATTTACTTCTTGCCCATAAGCTGGTGGTAATTTGCCCTTCATGTTATTATGATAAAAAAAAGAACATCTTTCATCCTGGTCGATAGATCCTGCTTTTTCTTTATTTCTTAAGTATAAGTCTATCTTGACAAAAGCATTTTTCATTTTTAAAAAGTGTCATAAGAAATCATTTTGCTTGCATTTATGTTTTCTTTTTTTAAGGATAAAATAGTTTGTTTAAAAGTCCAAATATGATCAAAGTTAGCATCACTGATGTATTTTAATAGAGTGAATAAAGTATATGTCTCACATTTGATTTTTACAAAAACCAAAACAGGTAGGTGGCTCTAATTTTTCATACACATTTATCTTGTGGTAACTTGTGATAAGGTATTTAGAAAGCTCTATAAATAAAGAACTTGTCTGACTTTTCTATGTCAATTGTTAAGTATTATATTTCTTGAGCTTAGATGTTGTTTTGTTTTTAACAAGAAAAAAAAGAAAAATTTTAAGTCAAAATCGATCATAAAAATCTTTATTTTCATTGTACAGTGTATGAATTCTAGTTCATCAAGTATTTCTTTGCAAATGTGCTTACCATATCCTTTTTCTGGGTTACCTGAAATATCTGTTGGTTTGCCTTGCAATTATTCTCCATGAATATATGGGGCAATGAATTATCCAAGTAATATGAAAAAAGAATATCAGTCTCCTAATATGATGTCTATGTCTTTGGAGAGTGGAGAGTAAGTATTAGGAACTAAGAATGATTTACATCATGTACTCTTAGGATGTGGTATCATTTTTAAATAATTAAGATACGAGTATTATTTAAAGAGAAACAAAACATATAAAAATGGCAGTGGAGAGCAAAACATGCAAACTCACTCCTGATTCATTAGAAGAAAAAAACCCTTGTTAGTGTAAGCTCTTTTCTAAATTAATTAATTCAATCAAAACTTAAGAAACAGCTTTAAAGGATGCAAGTAAAGATATGGCAGAATGTCGATTCCAGGTATATGCTTTGCATTAACATCAGAGGGTAAAGTCTCTTACCTGTGCTTCTTGAAATAATTAAAGTCATCCTAGTTTTTGTTCTAATAAACACTTCTCATTACAGGCATCAAGTAAGTAATGATTGCTTTTCACAGAAGTAAGAACTACATGATCACAAGTCCTTTGAATCTTAGAATCTTACAAAGATTAAAAGAGAGTGTTTCATACTGTAATATACAGCATTTTTAAAGTTATATAGGCCAGGCATGATGGCTCAGGCCTGTAATCCCAGCACTTTGGGAGGGTGAGGCAGGTGGATCACGAGGTCAGGAGTTCAAGACCAGCCTGGCCAACATGGTGAAACCCTCTACTAAAAATACAAAAACTTAGCTGGGCATGGTGGCGGGTGCCTGTAATCCCAGCTACTTCAGAGGCTGAGGCAGGAGAACGACTTGATCCCAGGAGGTGGAGGTTGCAGTGAGCCGAGATTGTGCCATTGCGCTCCAGCATGGGCGACAGAGTGAGACTCCATCTCAAAAAAAAAAGTTATATAACTTTTTCTTGAAAAACAACAATCATTTTGAACATTAGTTGTTATACATACAGATAATGGTGCTTACCTCTGATTAGGTGTTTTTTTCTTTTCTTTTTTTAAATTTTCTTTTCTTTTCATTTCACTTCTTTTTTTTTTTTCTAACACATCAAGCACACTGATTAGGTATTGAAGCCAACATTTGTCCTAAAACTTTCCTTAAAATAGTCCTGAAACACCATCATGGCTAAGTTTTGTGCTCTTATAGATACAGAAGAAGGGTATGCTGCTCATGACTAATTCCTGTCTGGTTTCCACTAATCCCTTAGGTGATAACTAAGCTGTCATTTCCTCCAGAAAAGTCTTTCCTGACCATTGCAACTTTGGATTCAGGTTTTCTCATACATTCTCCTGTAGCACCCTGCATACTGCCCCGAGCACAGACTGTTGTATTCTGTTACCACTCTCTCTTGGTTTCTGTGCATCTCCTACTGGCCTCTACTCAAGATGATTAGCTCATCACTTTTGTTTGCCAACTCAGGTTCTTCTCCCTACACACCCCATTTGCTTCCTGGCAGAGATCCGATTTTGTTTGTTGTTTACCCTATGAGGGGCTGTGCTCAGGAAAGAGCCTCCCCACCCCCAAATCCAAAGGTGGGGTTAAAAAAAAAAGTCTAAGTCAGTCATGGCATCTTCATTATCCTTGCTAGTGAGTAACTTTTAGTCTGAGTTTGAGACATAATTTGAATCAATGGTGTGTACTACAGCTTTTGAGAATGGTTTTCTACCTACTAAAAAGAGACAAATGGGAGGAATTCCTCTCTTTACTGGCTGTCATCATGACTGCATGTAATATCTTGAACTATTGCTATTACAGCAATATCACCACTCAAACGAAGATACCACAAACAAACTAAGAATGACAGAACCAAAAGTTTAAATACTCCTGTGTTGCAGAAGATATCATTAAGCCATGGAATTAACACATAAATACCAATTTCCAGACTTCCTGTTCTATGAGATAACACACTTATGATTCATGCTACTTCTGGTTGTTTTCTGCAACATACAGGCCAAAGGTATCCAAACTTTCTTTCATCAAAATGTATTAATGTAAGTGGTGAAATCCAACTCATTCCTGCCTCTGTTTGACTCCAGCATCCATATTATCATTCCGCCATGCTACCAAGGTTTTTTCTAAACTAGCTGAGCCAGGATTCCAATTTGTCTTCTGACTCTAAGTCCAAAACTCTTTTTACTATATTACAGGTGATTAAGGAATCTATGCTTCAGTCTTTTATTTACAAATGTAGAAGTCTGACACTATTCGAAATGCCAGACAACATTAGAATCTCATATTTGGCTAATGACATACTCGAAATATTGGGAAAATGTAATGTGTTTATACCTACAAAATAATTCCTTTCTAATGAATTAACATGTATATTTCAAAACAGAAATACTCTTCTCTACAATCACTGTATACACCGAGGACAGAACTGATATCTATCTCACAACTTTTATTTGCTTTTTACCTGTTCCTTCTTGTTCAAATAAACTTAATTACATATAATCTTAATCCTACTAAAAAGCCACACCTCTAGAGGAATGATATATGTCGCTCAATTCCCAGGAAAGCAGTGGTTACAATCAATGAAAAGAAATAGACATTTTAAGAAAATTAAAAAGGAAGCATTTTACAAAGAAATGAGGGCTTACAGAGGTTGAATGTTTTACTAGAAATCATGTCAATAGGTAGGACCAGAACCAGAAATTTGGATTCCAATTCCTGATTCAGTATTTTCTCCATAATATCATAATGCTTCCAAATGCCTATTAAAATTTACTGAAAATACTTGGCCAAACAAAAATAATCCATTACTGCATGTTCAAGTAAATCAAAAACTTCTCAGTAAATTAAGGTAACAGATGCACATTACCTTTTATATTGACTCTGTATTTTTTAAAGTAAGCTTCACTATGTCCTAGTTATCTCCTCCACTTTTCTAGTCCACAGATTTCATTTTATTTAAATAATTCAAACTTACTGATTGTTATCAGTTTAAACAGACTTAAAGGGAAGTCAGTTCTAACTGATTTTTACATACAGTCATTCGTCACTTAATGATGCGGATACATTTTAAGAAATGTGTCATTAGGCAATTTCATCACTGTGTGAATATCACAGAGTGTATGTACACAAATCTAGATGGTACAGCCTACTGCACACCTAGACTATATAGTGTAGCCTATTGCTCCTAGGCTACACATCTATACAGCATGTTACTGTACTAAACACTGTAGGCAACTATAACACAAAGCTAAGTATTTGTGTTTCTAAACATAGCTAGATGTGTATGTGGCTCTCAATGGCTGAAACATCACGGGATCATGGGACACATGACTGTACCTACTTTCTACAAACAATGTTGCATGTAATATTTACTAAATTTAGGAAGATGAAACTTGTTACTTTTTTTATTTAAATGCCATGATTTCCCTAATGAAGTAATTATCATAATGTTGACTTCACCCTGCATCCTCTTGGTTATAAACCTAATTACTCAGGGAAGTTTTAACTTGAAGCTCAGGAAATCAACAGTCTTTAGAAATTTATTTATAAAGGTTAATTCATATGGGATTTTCTGCAAGTGTTGTAGTTGATTCCAACATCCATTTCACTCTCGATGATTACTCCAAGCTAATCGCTATAACTCCATTGCCTTTGCCAATACTCGGGAGAGAATAATCTGAGACCAATTTGGCCCAATAAAAACATAGAGAAATTCTTACTCAGGTCTTCAAGGAAAGAAATGCCAGCCTCTTTCCCATTACATACAACAAGGAAAATGTTGATCTAATTGCTGCCCTTGTCCTAATAATCACAGAAAATAATAGCTTGAAGGATGAAGCCAAGAAAGCAAAAGAAAAATATAAAAAGACCCAACCTAGGTCTCTTATGACAACAATGAGTTCAATTAACCCACTCTGAAGCCTTCTTGTACTTCCTGTTGTGCAACATAATCCACGTCCTTATTGTTAAGTGAGTTTCAGCTGAGATTTCTATTAATGAAACCAACAAGCATCTTAACTGATAAAGTAGTAAAATCGAGTCTAGGGACAATGAGCACTAGAAAGGGAAGAGACTACAGGTTGAGGATCCCTTATCTGAAATGCTTGGAAGTGGAAGTGTTCAGACTTCAAATTTTTTTTTTGCATCCCTAATTGGAAAATCCAAAATTGAAAATGCTCCAATGAGTATTTCCTTTGAGCATCACATTGGTGCTCAAAATGTTGTGAATTTTAGAGCATTTCAGATTTTGGATTTTTGGGTTAGGGATGCTCAATCTATTAAAAAAAAAATCTTACAGTATTACAAATAGAATCTCTCAAAAGTACTTTGTTCTTCATTAGACGGTTCAAATACCAGCCAAGGTTCAGGGGTGTGCTGTAGAGCAAAGGAACTTCAAGACTCTCCCTAAATAATATCTAATTTGGGAAACTCTCAGAAAACTAAAGCATTTCTATTCATTTTTTTTTTAACAGCTGTTAGACACTCAGCACACTTCCAGGCTCTGGGGATACAGTCGTAAAAAAAAGAGAACCCCTGCCCTTGGAGCTTACATTGCAATGGGAAGATAATTAACAAGTAAATAAATATCTTCCCATGGATTTAGTTCTACTGTATAAAAATCATGAAGTACTGAAGCAAGTTCTATCATGACCAATGTTTGACTATTATGATACATCAGGGTAGACATAAACAATAAGACTTGGTAAACTCTGTCACTCAAGTGAAAAAAGTCAAAAAGAAAAAACATAAGGACAAGAAGAAAAAGGCTGAAACACAAAGAAACCAGACCAGAAATTGTAGAAAAGTCAAAGGGAAAGATACAGAAAGACCAAGACTACAATATCATCAGACACATGCACACATACAAAAAACTAAAATAAAATAAAGAAATGGAGATTTAAATAGCATCTGTTTCAATTCTGTCATATTAGAATCAGAGTGACTAGGACAGATGGGATGTTAAACCAATTAACAAGGTCTCGAACCTGAAACTGTCTAACACCTTTTTTAAAAAACCTACTTCAAACCAAAAGAAAAGACCAAAGTTCCCAGCCCACGTCATAGAGTCCCTCTAAACCACAAGTGACTTGCCAAAACCCACCACACTGTAACACACATTCCAGGGTTGAGCTAAATCCAATCTGTCTCATAAGCTGCCCAGGCAGGCAAGAATCACCACATAGAAAAGGATAGAAATTCCTGCACCCTTTTCTATGTCATATATAGTAAAGTAGGCCTTGCAAGGAGAGAGAAAACTTTAAATGAAAGAAAATTTCTAAAGTGAACAACACAAAAATTGAAAATTCGTGAAAAAAATTATCCCAAATTTCTTTCCGTACTATTAAAGTCTCTGACAAGGTACTAACAAACAAGTAAATTAAATGACTTGGGTTCCTTATTTTCTCTCAGAGTAAATTTAAGGAAATGTTAAGTAGCCACTGAATTGTTTAACAACTTCAAGTAAAAAGGTAAAGTAAATAAGTTACCAAGATAAGTCATAAGCACTTGACTAAAGGGCTCACTCTTCTAGCACACAGTTAAATTATTTTAGACAGAACAATACGTAATTGCAATTAAGTGCTTTTCCTACTCTTATAATATACTACATATTAAAATGGTTTCAGAGTTTAGATCACAGGTCCATGGGTAATGCCACTGTGGGGAATCCTGACACTGGGTCTTAATATCAAGAAAATACAGAGGATGTTTAACTCAAAGCCCTTCTAAAACGTACATTTTTAAAGATTTTGGCAGGAAGCTTTAAGATTTCTTTAAGCATAAACATTTATTCAATTTACAAATATTTATTGAGTACCTACTTTATATGAGGCACTATACCAGCACAATTAATGCAATTTGAAAATAAGAATTACTCTTACATGCATGAGGAATAGTCAGTTATTCTTGATCATGGAAGATGGCAAAATATGGCTATGCCTTGTAAGTAAAATGACTACATATCCTTGTTTACACCTTTCGTCCTAGCTCTCTGTCACTGACAAAAGTATTCCAGTTTAATCACTGAATTATATGGTTACCCCACCACAGTGGGTAAGCAGACAGGTGCTATATGGTAGCTAGTTACCATAATGCCAAATATTACCTAGATTTCTTTTTTATGTTGTAGATAAGAATAGGCTACCCTTAGATAAAATGTAAAGACTCAGATGTTATATCAACATGATAAAAGCATTCTGTGGTTGCTGAATAATAACTTTTAAAAGGATTTGTTTTCTTACTTCAAACACCCAGTAGTCAAATATTTCATCATTCTGTGCTACTGGATTAATGGTTTGCAACTAACCCAGGCAGATCTCAACAGCCACGTGACCAAGGAAAGACCCAAAACACTGGGACCACTTGCCAGACTGCCACAAGAACAAAGGCCTAGCAGGTGGCTATCCACTGCTCCAAATTAAATCATGCTGCACAGAACATTATCTCCATCATTGTATAATGTTGTTTTGTGTAATGTAACTCCTCATATCCAATTTTCAAAATTAAGACAAAATTGTTTTTAATGACAGACAAACCACAATAGGAAATAACAATGATCTAAATAACGTTGTTCAGGACTCAGTGAAAAGGGTCCCTCCCAGGTCCCAGAAGTAATCACCAAACCCCACCCACCCTCACCCCCAATATTTGTTCAATGAAGCAGTGCTGTATCTGGAACAAATCCCAAGGCCTAGTTAAACACCAGGTGGTACACTGGGGTAATTTTTTTTTTAAGTAACAGATGGCTCAAACTTTTCATCTTTATGACACACAGCACAGGACTTATGCAAGTTAAACTGTCTTCCAAGTACTTTATACAAGTAATACAATTACTCATGTGACTCATCACTTCACATCATAAAGAGAGCAGCAGGTGAAACAGATGCTGTACTCCTGGATTATTTATGACCTTGTATAACAGATATTTAAATGATACACACAAATACAGATAGACACAGATATATTTAAGTGTAGTTATATATTTGATGGTATTCCATCTCCCTAGTTGTAAAGTTAGAGGACACCTTAAATGAGTACTTTGGCTTGAGTAAATAAAAGTAAAATGTTATAAATCTAAAATGGTAGTGAGGAGAAAGGTGTGTCCAGTGCCATTAAAGTCTGGATTGTAGTAGTTTACTCAAAATGTAAGGGTGGAAACTAGGCTAGTTGGATCAGCATATGAGCATCTGATCACTACTTTCAAATTCACCAAAGGGTTGGCGGGAAGCCTAAAGTAAAGAAAAGAAGTTAGACTGAGAGATTTTTTCTTCCCCTTCTTCTATTTCACCCTATTTCACACAACCCTACAGCCAAAATCCAGCCCCAAACAGGTTTGCCTCCCCATACCAGGCAAGGCTAGTGAGAGGCATGGGTATCTCTGGATACAGCAGCAGAATGAAGGCAAAGGAATCTTGATGGGTAGCACCATAGGGCTTTCCATAGAGAGGGCCTGCCTGTCCCAGTCTGCTGTGCCTGGCCTTCCCCACCTCTCCTATTGTCCTGTGAAGTGTGGACCAAATGCGTGGTCAAGGACGGCCCTCATCATCACCTTGGCTTTCTGTGGCTGAAAATCATAAGCACAGCACCCATGGAGACGGTCTGCTGCTGCCCTTGGAAGAGTGACTGCAATGTCAATAACTGCCTCACCAGTGGACCTACTCATAAAGCAACCCCGCTATGAACACATACTACCAGACCCACCACACAGGACAAGTGACACAGGTAGCAAACAGAAGAGTAATCCTAAACAGATTCGAGAATGGCTGTGCTACTGATATATATACACCAAGGAAAGGGAAAGCTATAAGCTTTTCTATAAAGTTAGATCTGCTAAAAACTAGTACTAGACTCCTCTAAAATCCATGAAATGTATACAGCTTCCTGATACATTTTGCATTTGCCTGTGAAGTGAATACCCTATATATGGTTCTCCTGAGTAAAAATGTGTCCTGAATTCCACCAAGTCTTTGCAAAAGAGCTTCTTAGGCCCAGTTGTTTATACATGGGGGTCTTTCCTGGTGAGATCTCCGAATGTCTGAATGGTATACATTTAATTTGTCTTGTCTTTATATGGTATTTAAATAATTATTACTAACTGCTGAGTGTCAAAAGCCTGTACTCTTCCACAAACAGTAGCTAAATAATAGTTGTGATTG
The DNA here is from genome assembly GCF_000001405.40 of Homo sapiens. Classification (NCBI taxonomy): domain Eukaryota; kingdom Metazoa; phylum Chordata; class Mammalia; order Primates; family Hominidae; genus Homo; species Homo sapiens. Next base: position 20,705,438 of record NC_000006.12, on the reverse strand, counting down.
ATGCTGTTCTTTATAAAATATTTTGTGAACAAGCTTAAGTAATAATCTTATTATGCCAGAAACAAAATTTCATTTATTGATACTTGCTTTAAAATGAAAAGAATCACAGTGAAAATTGTGCTCAGTAATATTAAACAAATAAAATGCCACAAATATTGTCATTTGTACAATGAAAAAAAGTCAGTTATTTTCAAATATCTACTTTTGCTAAAGCATATCACACAAATCCTACGTTAATTAGTTTACACTTAAGGTCAGCTACCTCGCATGCCTTGCAATTATAAATACCATGATCAGTGTTTCTGCAATTACAGGAACTTGATCATTTTGTACAACACTTCCAGGAAAAATTAACACTTGCAAAAAAGCTGACTTTTAAATTTACAACTATTAATTATCATTCTACTTCTATTCTCCCCTTTACCCAAGTACAATAAGAAATTATTGCAGGCTACTCACATTTTTAATTGAATGTGAATTGTTATTCTCATTTTAGTCAGGCTTTCTGACCCATTTATTCCAAACCTCATATTCTTTGTTGCAAATTAACCAGATGACCACCCTATAATGGTATTGGCACACCATAAATTCAACAATTTACACAGGCCTCGGGGCACTGGACTATACCATCTAGAATTCCATTTTGAAAGAGTAAATCACAAAGAGATTCACAGAAGTGGGATTTAATTTGAGAAACAATGAGCAAATTAACTATTATTTCCTCACTTCTGGTCTAGGGACCTCTTCCATATATCCTTGTTTTCTGGTTTTATACTGCTGTCACCTCATACAGAATTTAGCTTGGTCTCATGTGGCTTTGCCTCTGATACATATTCAAAGCTATTCATTAAGTAGAAAATAAACTCATCTCCTACCATTCTCCCTCTGGCACTTTCTATTCCAGCCACACTTGCCTCTCCTTGCTGTTTCTTGAACATGACAAGCACATTCCTCCCCCAGTGTTTTTTTTATTGCTGTTTCCTCTGTCTAGAATGTTCTTTTCTCAAATATTCCCATTACTCATTACCTTATTTCATTCAGGTCCCTGCTCAAATCATTTTACCAGAGAAGTCTTCCTTGACTACGCTACAAAAAATTACACCCCTCTTCTCTCTCAATGCCTTGCTTTCATTTTCTTCCTAACAGTTGCTACCAGACTTACATGTTACCTTTCTTTAAGCTACATGACAGCAGAAAATTTGCTTCCTTCATTGCTATTATCGATCCCCAGGTCTTAAAAAAGCACTTGGTGTAATTTGATAAAAAAATTGAGTCAAGGAATGTTTGTTTGTTTCTCTCCCTACCCACATAAGCTCATTAAGTATTTTGTTTTATTCAGTACTGAAATCCCAGAGCCTCAAACAGTGCTTAATACCTGAAACAATCAATAATTGTGTTGAATGAAATCCCCAACACAGGCCTGCACTTTTCAAATGCTCTCAAAACTGAAAACAATAAAGACATAATTTTATTAGTGTTTAATTTGATCATTAAATAAAAATTCACTATTTCTCAAGTAACTGAAACTTTTAGCAGTTTTCAAAGTTTAAATTCACACCAAAATAGACTATATCCACACATTTGTGTATTAAAAATATTCCTGAAAATATGTGTAAAACTAATTATATAACATCATGTTTTTACACTTACTACAGTCTCCTCTCCAAAAAAACTTACAGCCCAAAACAAAAATTTTTTACTAATTTTTACTATTATATCATGTTTTTACTATTTATGTCATATTTTCCTGTTAACTATTATAACCTTCCCTAGAAAAAAGCTGTAGTCATTGACATACTAAAATTATAGCTCAATTGTACCCTAAGACATCATAACATTTTTACTTCATTCAAATGGAACAATAACTATAAAATATCTTCAAAATCATCAAATAGCTATATATATATTTTTTAAATGAATCACAAATTCCCTTTGTTTTCAACAGCAAATACATTAGAGCACATAAAAGAGTTGGGTTTTTTTTTCCTTTTTGTTTTTTGGATATTAACCATCTACACCAAAGGTCAGCAAAATTGTTTATGTAAAGTGCCAGATAATAAATATTTTAGATTTTGTGAGCCATATAGTCTCTATCGTAACTACTCAACTCTACACTAATATTGTGAATGCAGTCACAAACAGTACCTTAATTAACTAGAGCAACTCTGTTCCGATAAAACTTTATTTATAAAAACAGGCAACAGGCTAGATTTGTCCTGAGGGCCATTGTTTGCCAAGCCCCAGTCTACACCACTTTCTTTATTTTAACTTTATTTAACAAAGCCAAGAACAACCCAAGCTATGAGGAAGCTACGTGCCAAAAGTCAACTTACAATGGAGGTTTTGTTTTTAAGTTTCACTATATTTGCAACACATATTCTAATGGAAACCATATTACAGTAAGTTGTGAGATTCTTAGACAAATGAAACTCAGCTCTTCACTTCTCTCTATACCCAATTAGAAGCAAAGGGAAATCCTATTTCTGCCACAGACCCTAGTGATACGGGAGTGCTGGGAAGGGAAGAGCGTGGTCCCTTCAAATGATAAAGAAGTGGTGAAGGGAAGTGCTGGGTAGAGAAGGGCGTGGCCCCTGGCTAGGGCTCCACCCCCACAGACCTAGGTGAGGACAGGCACTCCTGCCTTCACATCCAAATGTTACATTTCCCAAGACCACCCTGGCCGGCCACACCCCATCGTGTGCCTATAAAAACCCCGAGACCCTAGCAGGCCAACACACAAGTGGCTGGACATCATGAGGAACACATCGGCGAAGAAAACACAGGTGGCTGGATATCGAGAGGACGTCCAGAGGGGCACACAACAGACACCAGCAGGCCAGCAGGCCAGCCGGCCATCGACTGGCGGAACGACAAGTTTTGCCTGAGCAGTTGGAAGGCCCAATCCACAAGAAAACCATCTCCCTTCTGGCTCCCCCATCTGCTGAAAGCTACTTCCACTCAATTAAACCTTGCACTCATTCCCCAAGCCCAGGTGTGATCTGATTCTTCCGGTACACCAAGGCAAGAATCCGGGATACAGAAAGCCCTCTGTCCTTGTGACAAGGGAGAGGGTCTAATTCAGCTGGTTAACACAAGCCTATAGACGGAAAGACTAAAAAAGCACCCTGTAACACACGCCTACTGGGGCTTCAGGAGCTGTAAGCATCCACCCTTAGACACTGCCATGGGGTCAGAGCCCCACGACCTGCCCGTCTGTATGCTCCCCTAGAGGTTCGAGCAGTGGGAGACTGAAGAAGTGAGCCACACACACATCACACGCCCTGCGAGGGGGACAAGGGAACCTTTCCCATTTCACTGAGTGCTAAGAGTTTAAACACCAAACAGCACAGGAGTAGGGAAGAAAAGAAGGAAGAAGAGGATCATTTCTTCTCCTTTTCTGAGAAAATTTAATCCCTGGCATCTTTCCGCTTCCTCCTGTCCATGCTAGAAAGGATCCCATTGCTGTCAGCCTCTCCCACCACGGCATCACAGCAGGATCTGCCCTAACTCTCAATCTGCCCAGACCTTTAAAAATGTCTCCATTCCTTTTCTAATCAATCTCTTATCCTTCAAGAAAGCTGATTTCTACTAAAAACAAGAAGAAAAACTAGATGATTAAACTACACATACAAATGGGTAGATTAAAGATCTAGTAAACATTCACAAAACTCCTACACACCAGGTACATAGGATATTTACTAAGGGTGGCTGGGGGAACATAACTCAAAGTTCTGGTAGGTATAATTTCCCTAATGGTGAAGGGGAAAATTGAGGTATTACGTAGAAAAAAAGGGAAAAACCTTAGACAGAGTGGGAGGGGGCAGAAGACATGGGCACACCAAGCCTAACTGTATAAAGGTTCCACAAGCATCCTCCTGAAAGCTGTCTTCTCTCTGCATGTCTCCACTTCTGAGGCACATATCCTCTACTCGAGGGGTCATTAACTCATGTATCTACAGGAAGGTAATAGACATGAAAGTACAACAGGGAATGATAAGGACTGGAGCAAATCAGAGAGTCTAAAAGCAGAGAGCTACTACTTGGTTCCAGCAATAGTACAGTGCAGGCCCAGCACTGCCATTCATCGGTTTTTCCAAGAAAGCTAGAAACACAGATTTTTTAAAATGTGAAATTGTCAAATTTTCAAGACACTGGGCAAGCCAAAAAAAAAAAAAAAAACAACTTCATGTATAGGTGAGATTGAGCCCATAAGTCATCAGAACCCTATCCTTTCTAAACTGCAGCTTTCCAGGGTCGCAACACAGCATGTGGGGATGGAAGCTGCTAGCCGGCTTCTTTATGGACCAGGAACAAATCTGGTGTCCTAAGGTGGAGAACTGCTTAATGGAACCTGAAGGTGATAAAATCTCATCGAAATTTTGTATTATTCTCTACAAAGACCTTGAAAAATACAATTCAGGTATTCGCAAGATATTAAATTAAAACTGCTTTCCTCTTCACTAAAGTCAGATATGCTCCTAAGTCTAAAAATTAAAATGTTTTAGAAACAGATTACATAAAAAGTGTAAAAAAAAAAAAAAACCCAAAAACCTCCAGACCACCCTCCTCAGCTATAACCACTGTATACCATTTGGTGTTGAGTGATTTATTTCAGTCCAAATGTAAATTGATTTTAAAATGCATCTACACTAGTTCCATCTGGTCCTGAAGTCATACAAGAGGTGGCTCAGTGGGCAGTTTTCTTTCTCAATATTCTGTATGTTACTCCCTTTTTGGCAAATATCTAGCCTCAATCAGTAGAATCTTTCTGTAGCAGAAGGTGAATTTCATACCATAAAACAAATCTGAGCTTGCCATGAAATTTAGGCTACTTAACTCAGGTCAGACCTGTCACAGGTCAGGCCTGCCAGCTGCTGTGCAACTTCTGTTCTAGTTTCTGCCCAGGCCTGTAATTATTTACAGTTTTGCACCTGTCAAAATCCTGAAACAATGACTTTCCTTGTTTCTCTAGGTTTATAGAGAGTTAAATGTACTCCTTTTCAAAATTGAACATTTAAGGCACACATGTTAGGGGAGTCACTATCATTCAGTTTAACTTTTATTTATTTTTTTTTTTTTTTTTGAGATGGAGTTTCACTCTTGTTGCCCAGGCTGGAGTGCAATGGTGCAATCTCAGCTCACCGCAACCTCCGGCTCCCAGGTTCAAGTGATTCTCCTGCCTCAGCCTCCTGAGTAGCTGGGATTACAGGCATGTGCCACCATGCCTGGCTCATCAGTTTAACTTTTTAAAAAACAGAATAAAACAGAAGCAAGGTGGAAAAAATAAATTCAGTTTTGATAGTTAGTAAATAAAATATTAAAGTAACTACTCTCCATCTTAATGAACATAAGAATTACTCATGAGGTGTTAAAAAAAAAAAATGCCTAATCCAAAAGCCGGACCTCCACAATCAGAATTTAGAAACGGGGAGGGATGGGTACATTTTTAATATGTCTTCTGAAAAACATGTTTTCAAAAATAACATAATAAACCAAAACACCATCATCTTAAAAGACTGGTTAGTCACTACTGCTACAATTTAGTCAACAATTTGGGAGGCTATCTGTTAAATAACTCAGTAGACAGGTAAAATTAAACTACTAAGTAAATCAAAAGAAGAAAGGTAAATAATGCTGTACATGGTTCTGTGATCTAAATTGACCACTCATTAAGAAATGTAAATGGTCTTCTCGCTACAGCTGATTCTGCCATGCAGAGATTGAGAGCTCCGGCTTGACGAGCTTTTATTCTCCTAAGTTATGCAACTCTATCCAGAAGGTGCATATTTCTTTAAGAAATCAGCAGCCCTGGGTAAACAGGGTGCATCTGGTGAACACATGTCCATGAGCAGGTAAACACATGATTTCAGTAATTACTTCTAACACCATCTGTCAAGCAGGTAGTTCAAAACCTACTCAACAGGAAAGGCAGTTTGAAGTAATTTTTAAGCGAGTATGCTTCTCATCTGCTTAATAAAAATAAAGATCAAAATACAAACCTAGAAACCTGTCTGCCTCTGCCCTAAATTTACCAAGGGCAGAGGCAGACAGGTTCATTCTTGTAACTAAAAAAGATGATAATGCTACACTGCTTAAGAAGCACATGAATCTGATTAATTATCCCCAAAAGAAATTTTCTTATGATTAGAATGGCAGTAATTTATTCATCACGAATCAATAACTAACAAGTCTGGTCTCTGTAATACATTAAAGTGTGTCACCTGTCTGCAAAACCACCTCGCCATTTATTAAGGGATAAACCATTCAGGTGACAAATGTTTTGACATATTGCTCAATATCCTTAACTGGACTTGAAAAACATAAATCCTAATGCAAAAGAACACAGGTCAAGAAAAATATATAGAAACAGAGGAAAAGGGGAAAAATACAATTAAGAATTTTCTGACTTTAAAAAAATGGTTATACAAGAGAGTTTTTAAAACTTATCATTGTAAATTCTGCCTTGATGTGTATCTATGAACCACTGACCTTTTCATTGGTCTGATTTGTATCATTTAAATAGAATAAATTCTACCAACTCTTAAACACCCAAAGTGAGTCACTGACAGGAACACCAAGGGCTGAATTCCCCCAGATAAATATAAATGATTCTTTTAGATTCAGTTCCCTCACCTTATCTTTACCACAATTTTTACCATGACAAGACTGACTCCTTTAAATTTTACCTTCTTACTCTTCCCGTCTCTCCATTGTGATACTGAAATATTAAAAATAAAGTTGTTTAGTAGGTATCCCTGATATGCTGTGATGAGAATGGCACTTCACCACCGTGGCCTTCCCCCAAAAGTCCATAACTCTCAACATGAGAAAATTATCAAACAAACCCAAACTGAGGGGCATTCTACAAAACAGCTGACCAGCCCAAAACTGCCAAGGATCAAAAACAAAGATAATCTGAGAAACTGTCACAGACTAGAGAAGACTAAGACATGATAAGCGCAACATAGTACCCTGGATGAAATACTGGAACAGAAAAAGGACTTTAGGGGAAAACTAGTGAAATCTGAATAAAATGTGGCATTGAGTTAACGGGAATGTACCAATGTTAATTTCTTGGTTGTGAGAAATGTAGCATAATAATGTAGGATGTTATTTAACAACAGTGAGAAACTGGGTAAGAGGTTTCTTTGCAACTTTTTTGCAACTTTTCTGTAAGTTGAAGATTATTCTAAAATCAAAACGTTGTCTAAAATTTTGTTCAGTGGGGATTTTGAATGTTCATTCAACCAAAATTCATTGACTAGCCACTATGTTACAGACAGACACACTGCAATACACAGGAAACCTTACCATAAGACAAAGTCAATGTGAATACATTGGAACATCACAAAACTGACTAAAACCCACCATTGGTAGGAAAATAATTAAAAGGATTTGCGTATAAAACAAGGTGCCTCACTGATATAAAGCATATAAATTATCTCCTGTTACAATGTCTGTAGTTACTTTAAAATACTTGTGCATAAAGAATGAGATGCACGTAACTCAAACTTCAGATCTAGGGGCAATCAATTACTTCAGTCAAAAAGACAAAGCCCAGGACACTCTCATCAGAAACCCATACCAGGAGATAGCAATGATTACTAGGCATCTTTGTGTAGCAGAATGGGGCCTGAGTCTTGTAGAAAAGTAGCTCACTCGTCTGAAACTTGTTTGGCAGAAACTAACCATTATGAATGACAAAAGTTACCTATGTCATTTCATGACAGTCCCTACAGAAACATTTTCTAATTTTGCATCCATGGGTGGCCTTCCAGAAATCCAATTGAAACGGTATGAAAACTTTTGCCATGTTTATGAATGTGCTTCCTTTTGGTGGACAGGATGTATATGGCTTTTATCAGATTATTAAAATGGTCTGTACCTCAAAAATAATCAAGAACCAGAGTCCTGAAAAAATCAAGTCCACCAATGATTTTTTTCTTAATTAAGTTTTTGCTTAAATTATACAATGTATATGTTCCCAAAAAAAGTGGCCTTCTCTTTTGATCTAAATTATCACATTATTATCACATTATCTTTCAAAAACAGATAAAATCTTAACTAGTAGGAGATACAATTTCCTTGACATTTCAAACATCTCACCAAAAGCAGAAACCAAAACTTTAAGAAGCCATTATTTTCCAACAATGATGCTCTATGCATTTTTTAATTTGAAACCATTTTACCTAGAAATACTAATGGTTTGCTCATCTCAATAAAGTTTGTTTTAAAAAATCAGTTTATTTCAGTCATGTTTTACAGGATCTTCACACTAGTTTTTGCATGACATCTTGTAGTTTCCAGTACATCCAGCCCTAGAAAAGAACAGCCAATTTTCTTCCTTTTGCATCTCTCTAATGATTTTTTTCATTTTGAATGAAATAGAACAAGGAAATATCATTCTATATAGTGACCAGCAATGCTCCCAAAGGTCAGATTATCACTCAGTAGTGAAGTATGTGGTAAAGCAACACATAGGATTTTTTTTAATCTTCGTGAGCCAATGTGGAAAATGCTGAAATTCATTACAAGTGAACATGATGAAAAATGACTACCGAACACGTCATACAAAACATTCTTCAACACATACTGTTTGCATCAAGTCCTAACTGGGGAAAGCTGGAAAGAAATGAGCAGCAAACAGGGTCATAGGCTACTTGTAAAAAGTTAATGAAAGATTTACTCAGCTTTACTTCAAATTCTATATAATTACAAGCTGTGATTCTTATTCTACCATACTACCTTCCAATTTAACACAACTTACAAAGAATTAATTTTTAGCAATACCTGGTAAAATTTTAAATATTTTTGTTAAAATACTTTTTAAAAGCTATTAAAAATACAAACAGTTTTTTGTTGTTGTTTGTTGCAAATCCAAGCATAAACCCATGGACAGAGATAAAAAGAAATTCAAAATAAAAAGTCTGTATTCTAGTTTTACACAACCAAAGGAAATTGTCTTTGCTAACTGTTAGGCTAACTTCTAATTTTTTTCTAAAGAATGGATTTCATTTCCTTCACTAAATATTTTCAGGTGCTCTTAGCTACCTAATTTCTTCAAAAGTTCACAGTCTAACCCTAAAAGCTCTGGAGCCCTGGAACCTTAGGAGTGCCCAGTAACACGAAATTCTATTTGGTAACTGCCACTGAGCAATATAAAAATGTGGTGGGAAAGTTGACTTGGTTTTTAGACGACTTCTTAAAATCAGTCTTTATTAAAAGGATGAGGGCTCATATTTCTGGGGTCTCCCCATGCTTTGCTCTCCTATGCCTAGCAGGCCAATGTGGAATGCCTTTGGGACAACAGCTAAGAGAAGAAATGCAAATGTAACTGGTAACTTAAGCCATGCATTCAAGAAATGTGGCAATGGCTTTTACAAATCTATTTTTTAAATATCAGTGAAATAGAAAGGCGACTGATATAAAGGAATCTGGAACAGTCAAATTCAGAGAGGCAGAAAGTAGAATCGTCGTTACCAGGGATTGGAAGAAAGGAGGAATGGGGAGTTACTGTTTCATGGGTACAGAGTTTTAGTTTGGATAATGAAAAAACTCTGCAGACAAATCATGGTAATGGTTACATAACAATGTGAATATACTTATTGACACTGAACTATACGCTTAAATAATGATTAAATGGTAAAAATGGATAAAATGTTAAATTTTATATTATGTATATTTTACTACAATTAACAAAAAAATCAATAAAAACCAGAATGGCTGCCTTCAACATTCTGCAGAATGGCTGACAATCCAGAGTATATCTGCCTGGCCAAAGAAAAAAAGGAATAAAACAAAAGAATGATGGAAGTAGCAGGAACAGATCCATGCCAAGCATGAAGAAACTAGTGGTGCAAATGAATTACCAGACATGAACAAGCAGAAGCTCTCTAGTAATGTATAAATATCACTTCTTCCTGTTATAACTTGATATCTGGAGAAAATGATGTGTATTTCTCTAAAAGATAAAATGATATGAGAAAATGATGTCCATCCAGAGCATCTAGCTGGATCTCTAACCTAAGCAGTCCTAAAGAATGATTTTGATGGTGAGACCTTCCCCTGAGTGTAACAAAAAGAGAGGCTACATATGGCAGACATCCAACAAATAATAAACTATCAGTGGCTGATGGACCAAAAGCCCTAGATATTTTTTAGGAAATAATTCTGGATACTCCCATCAGCGCTAAAGTTTGTTTAGAAGCATGAGAAAATCCAGTTCATAAGGCCATAGACAACTTGTTTTTCCCAGAAAAACACAGTCTTAAAATATGTATACTAGATCTACATCTTTCAGAATTGCTGGCTGGAAAAGCAGCAGCACTGCATTAAATAGGGACTGTCTCAGTCAGTCTGTGTCACTATAAAGGAATAGTTGAATGTGGGTAGTTTATAAAGAAAAGAGGTTTGTTTGGTTCATAGTTCTGCAGGCTGTACAAGGCCCATGGCACCAGAATCTGCACTCATGGTGGAAGGGGAAGGGGAGTCAGTGTGTGCAGGGGTCACAGGGCAAGAGAGATGTGGGGGTACCAGGCTGTTTTTAACCACTAGCTCTCTCCAGAACTAAGACAGCAAGAACCCACTCATTACTGTGAGGACTGTAGGGAGCTACTGACCATGACCCAAACACCTCCATTTGGCCCCTCCTCCAACATTAGGAACCAAATTTCAACATGAGGTTTGGAGAATCAAATATTCAAACAACAGCAGGGACTTAAAAACATTTCCTACTTTTTCACTGAGGGGGAAAGCAGTGACAAAGGCCTTCATTCTGGTGTTTACGGTATATATGTGGTCATCCTATCTCTCATCACTTTCGTGGGCTATTTGGTGAAAGAAATGGGTGGGACTCCTTGAGCCCTGGCATTAATGTAACTACCTATTACCCATGCTGAGTTGATGCCTCATAACAAGATTAATACAGACATGGACAATATGCAAGCTGTGGGAGTAGAACCTTCTCTACGCAACTCAAAAAAATGACATCCTGATGCACAGGTAGAGATGCCCATTCTTCTCCTTCTGTGGAACCAAAGGGGGTCTCCCTAGATCCAGAGTAGAACACTGTGACTTTAATAAAAGTAACTGGCAGGGGCCAGGCACAGTGGCTCATGCCTGTAATCTCAGCACTTTGGGAGGCCGAGGCAGGAGGACTGCTTGAGCCCAGGAGTTTGAGATCCAGCCTGGGCAACATAGTGAAACCCTGTCTCTACAAAAAATACGTTTGTTTGTTTGCTTGTTTGTTTGTTTGTTTGTTTGTTTATAAAGATAGTTATAAAACTCCACATAAACTTGGAGGTTAAGTAACAAACTGAGAACACTTCTATACCAACCACCTACATACACACACACACACACACACACACACACACATACACACACACACACACACAAAGTTAGCCGGGTGTGTTAGTGTGTGCCAGTGGTCCCAGCTCCTCGGGAGGCTGAAGTGGGAGGATCCTCTGAGCCTGGGAGATCGAGGTTGCAGTGAGCCATGATCATGTCACTGCACTCCAGCTTGGGTGACACAGAGAGATCTTGTCTTAAAAAAAAAAAAAAAGTAGCTGGCAAGTTCTCAAGAAGACCCATGCCAAGCATGACTCCTATCAGTTACTTGTTAATTAAACTAAGAACTTTTCTGAGTGAAGCAATCTCAAGGTCAAGTTTAACCAGGTCTTATGAAAGCTTTTAGTATTACTTCAGTTATTCTCATTAAGTGGATAAGACATGACAAGGAAAGGCAAAAGTATTTCTGTGGTCTCAACTTTCAGAAAGCCATAGGCGAGAAAGCAAGGCTGCTGCTGTGTGCAGTGCTAGGCATTGGCTAATATAAAGTATATTAACTAAAAAGAACTAAATATAGGACATTTGTCCCTGAAAGAAACATATCTATCTGGAAATAGAATTCTGTCATTTGCCCTGTTTTGAGGGAAGGGAGAAAGTAACTGTTCTTCTCCCTCTTGATAAAATGCACACAAAAAGTCCAGACAACTGACAGTTCTATAAGTTTGGTCTCAGAGGATTTCAGAGTCCTGGAATTGAATAAAAGAATTATCTTATTTCAACTGGGCAAATTATCAGAAATGGTTACAAGTTTCAACAATGGTTAGTATTTCTGACTAAGCAGAAAGGGCAATAAAAATTTCTACACATTAAATATTTGAAAAGGAAACAAAGATGGAAGAAAAAAGTGAGAGGCCTTCTTAGACTGTGAAGAACCACCCACCACAGAGAGAGCTGAGATCCTGTCCCTTACTCATGTGCAAGCCCCAACTGTCTTTTTTTTTTTTTTTTTTTTTTTTTTTTGAGACAGAGTCTCGCTTTGTTGCCCAGGCTGGAGTGCAGTGGCGCAACCTCGGCTCACTGCAAGCTCTGCCTCCCAGGTTCACGCCATTCTCCTGCCTCAGCCTCCCGAGTAGCTGGGACTATTGGCACCTGCCACCATGCCCGGCTAATTTTTTGTATTTTTTTTTAGTAGAGATTGGGTTTCACCGTGTTAGCCAGGATGGTCTCGATCTCCTCACGTCGTGATCCACCCACCTCGGCCTCCCAAAGTGCTGGGATTACAAGTGTGAGCCACCGCACCCGGCCACAACTGTCTTTTAACTTTACTACATGACAATGCTCATTTTCTCTACATTGTGACCACTCAAAGCACTGGCTTACCAAATTTTTCCAGTAGGTTAGGGTTTTTTTTTAATGTTCTGGGCTGATAAAGAAAAATATTAAATGAAGCCTCAAAAGATAATATTTTCCAGAAAAAAAGTACAAAACTGATAATTACTGTTACTTTCCATAGCTGATATTCCCCACCATCAAGCTTTCTACCATGATTTCACTTTGGTTTTTGTGATTTTGAACCACAAGAATCACAAAATTTCAGAGTTCTAGAAATAATTAACCCCCTCTGTGACCCAGAAGAAAATTCTGTGGAATCCCAAATCAAAGCCCAGAATGGTTTTAAACATTATTGTCAAAGCATATAAAAATGAAGAAAACCAGAGATAATTACTATCATTTCACTTATTGATTAGTAGTAGGCAGAATTCACAAGATTTTATGATGTTTGGAGCTCCCAACAGAAAGCTGACTAAAACAGTTATAAAATTCCACATTAACTTGGAGGTTGAGTAACAAACTGAGAACACTTCTCTACCAATCATCTCTAAATCTTTAGTCATTTTGACATGTTTAACTTCAGTTTAAAATCCTGGCAAAGAAATAGTGAGAATTGCCCTTGACTTTATGCCCTTCATATGTACTCTATTAAGCCTGATTTACTCAGAGGGGGGAGAAAAACACTCCAATTGGTAGATAGTAATCTTATGTAAATGTCAAAATGTCTTAGTATTCAGGGTAAGCAAAAGCTGCCATGCCTATACAACAAATCCTATAAGACAAAAGTTCTACAAAATTTTTAAACTGCACACTGCGAAAACTTAAAAATTAAAAACTTTTGTGCATACCACCAAATTTATGTATATTTGCTTATAAATTATATACATACTTTACTGTAGAAAAATTGGTTGTGTATATTACATAACATATATAAAATAGAAATGAAAAAGAATGGGAAATAAAAAAGAATGAAATAAAAATGAAGTTTTTAATATTTTCTTCTCACCCAACTCCAAATCTAGCCTAGGGATATGTACATCCCACTATGGAGACAACTACAAGAAAAGACAAGGAAGGAGACTGAGACGCATAATGAGCTTTCTTTCACAATGCTTTGGAGTCCTCTCTAAATTATGTAAGCATTGACAACTGAAAACCTTCTCAAACTCGGGAGAGCTGTTTTTAGCCCTTTCTCAATTATCCTCACCTCCCTGAGAGGATACACGGTAAGAGAGGAGGCAACAAGATGAAACAGCCAGCATGGAGACCTCTGGTTAATAAGAAAATAAGGCCTCCTCTAATAAGGAAGTTTAATAAAACTACAGACTAAATTAAGTGTACATATCCACTCTGCCAGCGATGACTTTCACTTAGCCAGGCACTCATGCTCGCCTTGCCTCAGACCATTACTCGGTGTAAGCTCTATTATCAATCACCCTCTCCAACATCACCAAGCAGAAGGCAGGCTGGCCCCACCATGCCATCTGTACACACACCTGCTCTCAGCAGCAGTCGCTGCTCAGGGTCTGCCGGCCCAGAGATGCCCAGGCCCAGAGGGCACCACTGTGAATTCATATTTTCTGCAGGAACTAGTCCAAAGATTTGGGAAGAAAAACTGGAAAGAGCCAAAGGCAAGAGACAGGACAATGAATGGCCGTTTACAAATGGCAGCCACATAATCTCCTGCGGGGTGTTTGTGGGGTCGTGGTCATAAAGTGTTTACCTACTCATAGTCCCTAAGACCTTCGAAGTCATTATTGCCTATTACCTGTAATAATACCTGCTTTTCTAAAAATCTACCAAAATAGTATTGTTGCATGCAATACATGTTTCATTTTAAAAGTATATTCACCACCATATAAGCAAAATAATTAGCATATCAGAATCTTAATTTTTTGTTTTTCCTATTTACAGTAATAAAGTCCCAAGCAGTCAGTAGTGGTACATAAGAATATTACTCAATGAACTCACATGACATCTGTAAAATCCGCTCTCAAGATCTGAAAGTTATATTCATTTTTTATCAGTTTTTATGAACATGGTAAAGTAGTCTTGACTTCCACAGTTCCCTTATAGCTAATTCTTAATATACAAGAAACTCATATAAGTATACGTGAAAAACATGAAGTCTATAATAAAGACAATATAAATAGTAAATAATCAAAAAAATATAAAAAAAATTCTATTTTGTTTATAATCAAAGAAAATATATTAAAACAATGAGCTGTCATCCCAATCTCCATTAAATTAGCAAAACTAAAATTGGAAATACTAAAAGCACAAGTGGCAGGGGTGTGTCTCCCTCATTCTCACACACTGCGGTAGTAAGGCTAATGGATATCTCTTCTCTAGAGAACAGTGTTGAAAAATATGTCTGGAGTTCGTAAAATGCTCATTCTGTGACCGAAAATTCCACCTTCATCAACTAGATCTACATTTTTTAAAATGCAATACCAAAAAAGAAGGTAAAGACTTACACCCAAAGATGTTCATTTATTTGACAGTTATAATACATTTATACTACTGAATAAAAAATTGGATAAAATCTAAGTACTCAGCCAAAAAATATATACAACTTATAGTATATCCATAAAATGAAATATTACATAGCCATTTAAAAAATTACCTCATTAAACACATGTGTTTTTTAAAAAGTAGGATACAAAAATATGTACGATATAATTTCATGTAAGTAAAAGAGAATCCAATACAGAAAAAAGATTGGCAAGTCATATGCTAGCATGTTAACTATGGTAACCATTACACAAGGAGATACAGGTGACTTTTAAATTGTATTTTCCAAATGGTCTACAATGTGAAAGTTATTTTTCATAATTGGGAGGCAAAATGATTTTAAAAATCCATGGATTAACAAACAATGAAATTTCAAAAAGTTAGCTATTCTGTAACACTAAGACCACCATAAGCCTTATACAATAAAAACAGAATTTCTTATCATTCAATTCTGAATGATTCTGAAATGTTCTTTTTGCAGGGAGGGGTAAATGGCACCCATTCATTGCAATTAAATACCTCTCTATTTTTTTGGTCCATTTTTCCATAAAGAAAATTAGAGCACAGATACATGAAATTTCTTTGAAAACCACAACATAAACCTTTAACAAGTAACAACCAGTAATAACAAAAACACCATTTACCTCTAGGTGGAAATTATATATAATACTCATGAAATGAACATTACAGTTTTGCCCCTAAAAATGGTTGTGGGGACTTCAGGTTTCCAGTTCAGCATCTGAGAAGCTTGGAAGTTGCTATTCCATCCTACCAACAAGTGAAAAAACTAAACAAACTAACAAATCATTCTTTTTAGATATGTAAGAGAATTGAGGTCACCAGGCAAATCACTGCCCCTAATATTGGAGACACCAACTGGCAGATACCAAAAATCACAATTTGCCTGAGCAGAAAACCACAAACCTCCACGGGAACGAGTGTTAGGGTAGGAAAATCTAAACTGTAATTTATGTATTGCTGGAGGCTCAGTGTGGACAACTTTTAGAGTAAAGTTAAAAACTCCAGGATGACTCAGTCACTGGGGCCCCATACTTGCGTGAATTTTTACCTCCAGGAGCTTGACCTGGTTCTCACAGTGAATACTGGAGCAAAATCCCCTCATGCTTCCAGTAGGGGAAAGGTAAAAGAAACTATATGGAAACTCACCAGAGTACTCTGTTCTTAAAGTCTGCTCTCAGGAAAAACTAGTTAACTACAGCCTAACCTGCTGGGGTGTCACCAGAGCCTAAATGACCTGGGTGAAAACAAATGCCCAGCTCCAGCCAAGTCTAGCTTTCTAGTCCCTCCTGAAGGGGAGAGGACTAAGAAGAACTTGTGAGGATCACAGTAAGCACAGGCTTACTAAAGGACTGAGACCTAATCAGTGGATTACAGAACACTCCCTCTCCCCCAACACCTTAATACCACATCACTGAAGACCTATTTATACCAGTTTCTGTTTCTCAGTACTTCGTGTCTAGATAGCAAGAAAAAAGTGCAAGGTGTACTAAAAGCATCAAAGACAATTTGAAGAGACAGCAAGAATCAGAACCAGACTCAGATATGGCAGAATGTGGGAATTATCAGACTGGGAATTTAAAACAACAATGATTAACATGCTATGGGTGCCAATGGAAAAAATGGACAGCATGTAAGAAAAGAAGGGCAATGTAAACAGACAAAAAGAAATTCTAAAACAGAACAAAAAACATATAAGAGAAATCAAAAACACTAACGGAAATGAAGAATGACTTAGACAAGCTTACTAGTAGACTAGACATGGCTGAGCAAAGACTCTCTCTGAGCTTGAAGATATCACAATAGAAATGTACAAAACTGAAAAGCACAAAGAAAAAAGACTAAAAACAAAAAAAAAACGAAAGAAACCTCTCAACAGAATATTCAAGAACAATGAGATGATTACAAAAGGTGTAACATACATGTGATAGAATACTAGAAGCGGAAGTAGAAGATAAAGGAACAGCAGAAATATACAGAGCAGTAATCACTGAAAATTTCCCTAACTTTATGCCACATACCAATCAAAAGATTCAGGAGACTGTGAATGCCAAGCAGGATAAAAACCAAAAAAACTATACCTATGCATGACATATGCAAACTACAGAAAGTCAAAGATAAAGAAAAAAACCTGAAAGAAGCCAGAGGTGGGGGGTGAGGGGGGAATAACCCTTAGCTAGACAGAAGCAAAGATAAGAATTACATTTTACTTCTGCTAGAAACCATACAAGCGAGTGGTAAAGTAAAATAAAGTGTTGATAAAAAAAAAGAAAAAACAACAACATAGAATTCTGTAACCCGCAAAATCATTCTTCAAAAGTGAAGGAAAAATACTTTCTCAAACAAACAAAAATTGAGAGATTTTTTTGCCAGTAGATCTACCTTGCAAGAAATTAAAAAAAAAAATCCTTTACATAGGATAAAAATGATGTAGGTCAGAAATTTGGATCTAGAGAAAGAAGCAGGGCAAGGTGGCTCATGCCTATAATCCTAGCACTATGGTAGGCAGAGGCAGACAGATCACTTGAGCCCAGGAGCTCAAGACCAGCCTGGGCAACATGGCAAAATCCCCTCTCTACCAAAAATAGAAAAATTAGCTGCATGTGGTGGTGAGTGCCTACAGTCCCAGTTACTCAGGAGGATCACCCGTGCCTAGGAGGTCGAGGCTGCAGTGAGCTGTGACCATGCACTCCAGCCTGTGTGACAGAGTAAGACCCCACCTCAAAAAACAAAATAAAATAAAATATGAAAAACAAAGAAAAGAAAAAAAGATTGATAAAAGAATAAAAGTAAAATAACTTTTTAATTTTCTTATCCCTGATTGATCTAACAAATCACAAATTTCATAACCCAGATGAAATGAACCAAATCTTGAAAAACAATCTACAAAACTCATGTAAGAAGAAAAAGACGATGTGAATAGGCCTATATCTATTAAATAAATTGAATCAATAATTAGCAACATTCTAAAACAGAAAGCACCAGGCCCAGATTGGTTCACTGGTGAATGTTACCATATTTTTTTTAATTATGACAATTTTCCATAACTTTTTCAGAAATTAGAATCAAGAGGAAATACTTCCTAACTCATTCTGAGGTCAGCATTATCCTAATACCAAAACCACACAAAGACAACACAAGAAAACTATTGACCAATATTTATCATGAACATAGATATAAAATCATCCATAGAAAATCAAATATAACAATGTATAAAAAGAATTATACACCATGACTAACTGGGATTTACCTCTGATTGCATGGCTGGTTCAACATTTGAAAATCAATTAATGTAATTCATCACATCAACAGGCTAAAGAAGAAAAATCACATAATCATAGCAATAGATTTTTCTGCATCTATTGACAGACACACTTGACAAAATCCAAAACCCATTCATGATAAAAGATCTCAGTGAACGAGATATAGAGTAACTTCAACTAGTTAAAAAGACTACAAAAATCTATAGCTAACATCATACTTAACGGTGAGAAACTCGAAGCTTTCCCACTAAAATCACGAACAAAGACAAAAATGTCCCCTCACCACTCCTTTTCAATATCATACTGGATGTCCTAGTTCAGTGGCCCCCAACCGTTTTGGCACGAGGGAAAGGTAATTTTTCCACAGATTGGGTGGGAGATGGTTTCAGAATGATTCAAGCGCATTACATTTATTGTGCACTTTATTTCTATTATTACATTGTAATATATAATGAAATAGTTACACAACTCACCATAATATAAAATCAGTGCGAGCCCTGAGCTTGTTTTCTTGCAACTACAAGGTCCCATCTGGGGGTGATGGGAGACAGTGACAGATCATCAGGCAACCTGGATACCTCACATGCACAGTTCCCAATAGGGTTCGTGCTCCTGTGAGAATCTAATGCTGCCCCTGATCTGACAGGAGGCGGAGCTCAGGTGGTAATGCAAGCAAGGGGGAGCAGCTGTAAACACAGATGAAGCTTGGCTCACTCACCCACCGCTCACCTCCTGCTATGCGGCCTGGTTCCTAACAAGCCACAGACCAGTACCAGTTCATGGCCCAGGGGTTGGGGACCCTGTCCTAGTTAATACAAGACAAGAAAAAGAAATAATAGGTATATTGATTGGGAAGGAAGAAACAAAACTGTCTTTGTTCGCAGATGAAATAAATGTCTGCATAAAACACTCAAGAGTATTGGCAAAAAAAAAAAAAACCTTAAAACAAATAAGCTATTTAGCAAGGTTTCAGGATACATAATTAATATATAAAAGTCAACTGCTTTTCCAAATACCAGCAATGAACAAGAGGAATTTGAAATTTACAACAATACCATTTACATTAGCACCTCCCAAAATGAAGGAATAACCCTAACAAAATAGGTACATGATCTATAGAAAATAAACTACAAGAGCCAGGCTTGATGGCTCATGCCTGTAATCCTAGAACTTTGGGAGGCCAAGGTGAGAGGATCACTTGAACTCAGAAGTTCAAGAGCAGACTGAGCAACAAAGGGAGACCTCATCTCTATAAAAACGTTTTAAGAACTAGCAGACTGTGATGGTGTGTGCCTATGGTTCTAGCAAAAATAAAATAAAATTTTTTAAAAAACTAAAAAAACTCTAATGAATGAAATCAAAGAACTAAATAAATGAAGAGATATTCCATATTTAGGATAGGAAGCCTCAATATTGTAAAAATGTCAGTTCTTTCCAACTTGATCTATAGATTCAATGCAATCCCTATCAAAATCCCAGCAAGTTATTTTGTGGATATCAACAAAGTGATTAGAAAGCTTACATGGCAAGGCAAAAGACCTAGAATAGCCAACATAATATTAAAAGAGAAGAATAAAGTCAGAAGGATGACACTACTCAACTTTAAGGCTTTCTGCAAAGCAACAATAATCAAGACAATGTACTACTGATGAAAGAACAGACAAACAGATCAATGGAACAGAACAAAGAGCCCAGAAATAGACCCACAAAAATACAATCATCGGATCTTTGACCAAGGAGCGAAAGCAATATGATGGTACAAAGACCATCTTCAAAAAACGGTGGTAGAACAACTGGACATCCACATGCTAAAAAAACAAATCTAAACACAGACCTTACATTCTTGACAAAAATTAGATCGAAATGGCTCAGACCTCAATGTAAAACATAAAACTACAGAACTCCTGGGAGATAACATAGGAGAAAATCTAGATGCCCTTAGGTTTGACAATGACTTTTTAGATATTACACAAAAGGCACACTCCATGAACACAAGAATCAATAAACTGGATTTCATTAAAATTATAAAATTTTGCTCTGCAAAAGATATTGTCAAGAAAATAAAAAGCAATAAAGAAAATACTTGCAAAAGATATGTCTGATAAAGATCTATAATCCAAAATACATGAAGAAATATTAAAACTCAACAATAAGAAAACAATCTGATTAAAAAATGGGGTAAAGCCCTTGACAGACACCTCTCCAAAGAAGACATGCAAACGGTAAATAAGCATATAAAAATATGCTCCACATCATATGTCATCAGGAAAATGCAAATTAAAGCAATGAGATACCACTACGAACCTCTTACAATGGCCAAATCCAGAACACTGCTAACACCAAATGTTGGCAAGGATGCGGAGCAACAGGAACTCTCATTCATTGTGGATACAAATGCAAAATGATACAGTCACTTGGAAGACAGTTTGACAGAATCTGAACATACTCTGAAACTAAACATATCTTATCAAAAGATCTAGCAATTACCTTCCTTTTGCCCTCCCAGAAGAGTTGACAACTTATGTCCATATAAAAACTGCACACAATGTTTATAGCAGCTTTATTCATTTTTTCTTTGTTTGAGACAGAGACTCACTCTGACACCAAGGCTGGAGTGCAGTGACACGATCTTGGCTCACTGCAACCTCCGCCTCCTGGACTCAAGTGATTCTCATGCCTCAGCCTCCTAAGTAGCTGGGAATACAGGCACATGCCACCACGCCCAGCTAATTTTTGTATTTTTAGTAGAGACAGGGTTTTGCCATGTTGGCCAGGCTGGTCTCAAACTCCTGACCTCAAGCGACCCACCCACCTTGGCCTCCCAAAGTGCGGGGATTACAGGCATGAGCCAACACACCTGGCCTAAAGCAGCTTTATTCATAATTGCCAAAACTTAGAAACAACCAAGATGTCCTTCAGTAAGTGAATGGATAAACTGTTGTACATTCTGACAATGAAATATTATTCAGCACTAAAAAATGGGCCATCAAGACGCGAAAAGATATAGAGGAAACTTAAGTGCATATTACTAAGTGAAAGGAACCCATCCAAAAAAGCTACAAATTATATGACTCCCACTATCTGATATCTGGGGAAATATAAAACAGTGGAGACAATCAAAACATCAGTGGATGCTAAGAGTTTGGGATGAATAAGCAGGGCAAAGATTTTAAGGGCAGTGAAATTACTCTGTATGATACAATAATGGTGGATACATGTCATTATTCATTTGTCAAAATCCATAGAAAATACCATACCAAAAGTCAACTTTAATGTAAACTACATTCTCTGGGTGATTGATAATGATGTGTCAACGTAGGTTCATCAGTTGTAACAAATGTACCATTCTGATGGGGGATACTGATCATGGGAGAGGCTGCAGATATGTGGGGGCAGGGGATATATGGAACATCTCTGTACCTTCCTCTCAATTTTGCTGTGAATCTAAACCTGCTCTAAAAAATAAAATCTATTTTAAAAAATCACTGTGAGAGAAATAAAAGAATCATTTTGTTAATTCCGATTTTGAAGAGGATAAGACACTATCAATAAGTAATTTTCTGCTAATGAATCTCTCAATATAAGTAAAGCCAAGACTTTTAAACCAAATGCTGAATTACTCTGGTACTCTAATGGATCTATATTAACACAATAAAAATAAGAAACAAAATAGCTATCTTCCAAAAACCTGGTTACTTTTTAACATCTTCTGAATATTTGAGAAGATAAATAGGAGCAGGAATGACCCAGGTTTTAAAATGAACTATGTTAACTTCCTAGCTATATAAACATGGGGGCAAGATACTTAACTCCTCTAAACTTGTTTCCTAAGCTCCAGTGGGATTAAACTAGACAAAGTATATAAAAGTACCTAACACATTACTCAATAAAATATAAGACAGGCACAGTGTGTGCACCTGTAGTTCCAGCTACTCAGGAGGCTGAGGCTGGAGGACTTCTTGAGCCCAGGAGTTCAAGGCTACAGGGTGCTATGCTTGCACCTGTGAAAGTCACTGCACTCCTGCCTAGGCAACATAGCAAGACCCTGTCTCTAAAAAAAAAAAAAAAAAAGAAAGAAAAAGAAAAGAGCTACTATTTTAAGTGGAAGGAAAAAGTAAATAGAAGATTTAAATCAATTCAGTAAGCATCTGAGAGGTTATGTTACTTAGCACTAGTGATATTGAAATTAAAAAGAGCTCACAGTTCAGAAGGAAAAACACAAGCCAACTAAAAATTATAATGCAGTCTAATAGAATAGCACAGCTATAGTAAATCTCAGATGCTTTAAAGGAATTCAAGTTGGGAAATCTAACTTGGGTTGTGATATGATTTGACTCTGTGTCCCCACCAAAATCTCATGTCAAATTGTAATTCCCGTTGTTGGAGGAGGGGCCTGATGGGAGGTGATCGAATCATGGGGGCAGACATCCCCCTTGCTGTTCTCCTGATAGAGTTATCACGAGATCTCATTGTTTAAAAGTGTGTAGCACTCCCATCTCCTCCTGCCCTGCCATGTGAAGATTGTGCCTGCTTCCTCTTCACCTTCTGCCATGATTGTAAGTTTCCTAAGGCCTCTCCAGCCATGCTTCCTATACCAGCTGTGGAACCCTGGGTCAATTAAACCTCGTTTCACCATAAATTATCCAGTCTCAGGTATGTCTTTATAGCAGTGTGAGAACAGACTAATACAGGCTGATGTTTAAGGAAGACTGCAAGAGGGAAGTGCTGTTAGATAATAAAAGATATTTTAATAAATGTCATCTAGGCAGAGAAGGAACGGCAGATCAGATAAGTACAGACTATTACAGCTAGAACCAGGGTTTCTTGAGGGAGATGGCCTGTGTTACTGTCTGAATGCTTGTGTCCCCCCCAAATTCATATGCTACAATATAATCACCAATGTGATATTAGGACATGGAGCTCCTGAGAGGTGATTAGGTCATGAGGGTGGGACCCTCATTAATGAGATAGTGCCCTTATAAATGAGACCCCATAAAGCTAGCTGCCTTGCCCCTTCCACTGTGTGAGGACACAGCTATAACTTGCCATCTATGAACCATGAAGTGAGTTCTCACTAGACATCAAATCTGCTGGCGTCTTATTCTTGGAATTCCCAGCCTCCAGTATTGTGAGAATTAAATTTCTGTCGTTTATAACCCACCTGCTCTATGGTATTTTGTAAGAGCAGCCTGAGCAAACTAAGACAGTCTGTAATGTCATGGGAAAGGAGGCAGTATCGATACTATCCTATGAGCTCCACCAGGCCTTCCATGCACCCATCTCTCGCTTCTGGAGTGAATTAAAAATGGAGGAAAACTGGAACCCAGAAGACAAGTGCTTTCCTGCTGCCACCACTTTGCAATTCCCCACCAAGACCATCTACTAACATTATAGCAGCTGACAAAGAACAGCTATTACAGAGTCCAGTTATGTCACCCAAGGCAAGGCAAACAAGGCTGGGCTGCAGGCTGAGAATAAGTAAACTGATAACAGTCACACTGTCTTTCCTATCAAATAACAGATGAGAACTCTGCTTTTATACCTGCCCCCTAACACAATACCTGGTACAAAGTGTAATTCAATAAATTTGTAAAACATGCTAAAATGGAAAAAAACACAAAATGTAGGCTCAGGCAAACAGTGGTTGAAACTAGCCTGGGCACAAGTGGGTGACAGTGCCAGGGTAAAAACAAGCAACAGGAAAGAACCAGATCTCCCAAAGGTCAAGCATACATATGACTGTTGCTGCCTAGAAACATTTTAGACTCCAGCTTATGCTTAGGAGTTGTTATAATAACCTTCTACAATGTTCTTTACAGGGATTCACCTACAGAATGAGGCCATCTTTTAAAATAATTGTAAATGCATTCACAACAGTGAAACAACTAGGGTAAAGTGGACCAACAGGGAAGAGGCTTAAGCTAAATATCTCCAACTAACATGATACAACAGATGAAACTGAAACTGGGTATCCTTCCTCATCTGTGTTTTCATTGTTCACATATACTGATTATTCATTTAAGGCATTAAATACTTTAGTATCTTTGATGCCAATAAGTGTTATTTTCCTCTTCTCGAAGTCACATCCTGATGTCAGGAAACTGATGATAAAAACAAGCTGCCTCCTTATGGGCTAGCAAACAAGAAACAGGTTTCAGTTTTGCCCTGTTATAAATTCCTTGCCTTGCTGAACAGAAGCATCATTGTTAGATTATATTTTTCAATATTTCTTAAGACTCAAGGCATGACCCGAAAGTGCCCTGTCGTGCCGGGTTTCTATACAAAGCTCCATGCAGAAAGCAAAAGTTTTCCTTCAGTCAGAATGAAGCACTTTCAAGAGAATCACAGACAGAGACAGAGGGAGATAACATTCAGTATTAATAAAGTCTTGCTTATAGAAAGAACAATTCCAGACAAGTGACAATCTGTCCTAGTTTCAACCATCCTTAAAAAGGACCAGTCCTAGAATAGTAATGGTTTGAGCACCGAATGTAAGGAATCAAACATTGCTAACAGCGCTTTATTGTCAGGAAATTCTTCTTTAGTTTTCCTTCCTTTACTAAATATTTGTAAGAAATTTCAAATATAATGTCATATGTTTAAAAACACCTACATAAAATTCTAAATAAAAATTATTTTAAAACTCAACAAAATTAGACCGGGTGTGGTGGCTCACGCCTGGAATCCCAGGACTTTGGGAGGCTGAAGCATGCAGATCACTTGAGGCCAGGAGTTCGAGACCAGCCTGGCCAACATGGCAAAACCCCGTCTCTACTAAAAACACAAAAATTAGCCAGGCATGGTGGTGGGCACCTGTAATCCTAGCTATTCAGGAGGCTGAGGCACAAGAAACACTTGACCTGGGAGGTGGAGGCTGTAGTAAACCAAGATTACGCCACTACACTTCAACCTGGGCAACAGAGCAAGAGCTTGTCTCAGAAAAAAATAAAAATTAAAAAAAATTAAAAGTCAAAGAGAAAGTGATGGAATCAGAAAGCAAAAAAGAAAAAAATAACGTTGATAAAACTAGAGTCCCAGCAAAAAAATTTTAAAAAAGAAATAAAAATAAATAGAAACAATATTTAAGATTGTAATTCAAGAAAACTTGAATCTGCATATTAAAAGGGTCAACCAGTACCTGGGAGAATTTACTTGGAACAGTCAACTCCAAGACACATCCTAATAAACCCTTAGGCTTCAAAAACAAAGAAAAAGTGTCCAAGGCTACTAGGCATAAAAGATAAAATAATGAACGAAGGCAAATAAATTCAACTGGCATCAGAGTTGTCTAAAACAAAATATAATGCAACAATGGAAAAGCATTTTTTAGAAATTCAATAAAAGTATGAATAATGAATTTTAAAAACAACCAAGGTATCCTTCAAGTTTCAAGGCTATATAAAAAGTTTTTAACACACAAGAATCCATAATCCCCTCTTGAAGAATCTAAATAAAACAGGATGAGCTTCATGCAACCAAGAGAGGTCTGGGGAAATTTCAGCAAAAGGACTGATAATGAGCTCATTGCTACATAACTGTAGATCTAAAACTAAAATACAGGGGGGAATATTAATTGTCAAAAGCCAAAGATGAATGTACAAATGCTATGCATTGTAGCAATGCACAAAAGTAGGAAAAAAGTAGGTCAATGTACAAATGTTATAATAAATAGAAATAATGCAGAAAAATGTGTAGGGTGAGAAAATCAGAAAGTAAAACACATTCTTTGGTTGGCAAAAGTCAGGAATAAAAGGATACTATTGAACACTGACAAAGTAGATGGTAAATGTTTAAACAGGCAATGGAAACCGGATACAGTGGCTCATGCCTATAATCCCAACACTTTGGGAGGCCAGGGCAGGAGGAGGGTTGCTTGAGGCCAGGAGTTTGAGGCCAGCCTTGGCAACATAGTGAGACCCAGTCTTTACAATCAATCAATCAATAAATAAATCTAGCCATGTGTGGTGACACACTCCCGTAGTCATAGATACTAGGGAGGCTGAAGTGGGAAGATCCCTTGAGCCCAGGAGTTTCAGGTTACAATGAACTACAACCATGCCTCATGACACTGCACTCCAGACTGGGTATGAGGAAGACCCTGTCTCAAAAACAAAAACAAAAACATAGGCAATGAAACTACAGGCATTTAGAAGTTATAAATGAAAAGTTAACCACTCAAAATATGCAACTTCCTAAATAACACTTTATTTATTTAAAGAAAAAAACACATGTCACAAAGAAACATAGTAAATAAAAAATAATATATATAATTTTAAAACATCACAACAGAGCAGAGACCAAACAATGTAGTCACATCAAACAGTAAGTCCTCACTTAATGCCATCAATAGGTTCTTGGAAACCACAAGTTTAAGCGAAACAACTGTAGTATAAAGAAACAATTTACCATAGGTTAATTGATATGAGCAAGAGTTAAGTTCCTACAACATATAGTAATTCATTTCACTTAAAACTGTGTTTCCAAGAATCTATCCAGGACATTAAGTGAAGCCTTACTGACTGTAAAGAAGCTTAACTCACCTATTAAAAGAAAAAGATTTTAAATGTGGTTCACAAAGCAACACCCAATTCTATTCCACATACCAGAAACATGCCTAAAGCTAAATAATTCAGAATGACTAAAATTAAAAAGAGACAAAGGAGTAACATACAAAGAATAATCCAAGCCAAAATTGAATAAATATGAAAAGAAAAGCACTTTTGTTTTTTCCATGCCCAGCCCAAGAAGAACACTTTAGAGACACAACTGACAATAAAATTAGAACATCTATAGATACCTATGCACCAAATAACATAAAACCAACCTGAGGCTGCAAGAAGAAATGCATTCACAATAACAGACCTATACATTCTCCATACAAGACTCAAGCAATGATAGTACAAAGACTTAAATAGAGTCAAAAAAAAAAAACAACACAGATCTTAATCTAGATTCAGTGTTACTACCTAATAACAGAGAAGAGAATACACCTTCTTTTCAAGCACCCATTGAACATTCACAAAATGATAAATCACAAATAAAGGACATCAGGAAGCTCTTTAAAGCAGAAAAATTAAAAATAACTCTGATCACATTGCAATAAAATTAGAAATAAAAAAATTTAAGCAGCTTTTGGGTGAAAGGAGAAATAAAAACCTAAATTAGAAGATTTCTAAAAACTAGTGATATTGAGCACACTATGCATCAGCATCTCTAGGATTTAAAACAGTAAACAGAGAAAAATTCATATTACTAAAACTTAGCAGTAAAAATGCAAGAATAAAAGATAAATTAGAGACTTAGCTCTCGCCATGCATGGGGGCTCACACCTGTAATCCCAGCACTTTGGGAGGCCGAAGTGGGCAGATCACCTGAGGTCAGGAGTTTGAGACCAGGCTAGCCAACATGGAGAAACTCTGTCTCTACTAAAAATACAAAAATTACCCTGGTGTGGGGTATGACTGTAATCCCAGCTACTAGGGAGGCTGACGCAGGAGAATCGCTTGAACCTGGGAGGTGGAGGCAGCAATGAGGCAAGATCGTGCCATTGCACTCCAGCCTGGGCGACAAGAGTAAAACTCCATCTAAAAAAAAATAAAGCCTTCGTTGAAAAATGAAAAAAGCAAAGTAAACAAACAAAACAAAACAAATTTAGCCAGGCACGATGGCTCACGCCTGTAATCCCAACACTTTGAGAGGCTGAGGCAGGTGGATCACCTGAGGCCGGGAGTTCAAGACCAGCCGGGACAACAGGTGAAAGCCCATCTCTACTAATAATACAAAAATTAGCCAGGCCTGGTGGCAGGTGTCTGTAATCCCAACTACTAGGGAGGCTGAGGCAGGAGAATCGCTTGAACCTGGGAGGCAGAGGTTGCAGTGAGCCAAAATCGCGCCACTGCACTCCAGCTTGGGCAACAGAGCAAGACTCTATCACACACACACACAAAAAAAATTATCAAATAAAAAACAAGGCATAAATAATAATAAAAACAGAAGAAATTATTTTAAAGTCATAAGAGGTCACTTTTGCAGACTTCTATGCAAATACAGTCATGTGTCACTTAATGATGGAGATACTTTCCAAGAAATACGTCATTAGGCAATTTCATCATTCCTCAAGTGTACTTACACAAACCTAGATGGTATAACCTACTATATACCTAGGCCATTATATGTTGCAGACTATTGCTCCTAGGCTACAAACCCATACAGCATGTTACTACACTAGATGCTGTGGATAACTGTAACACAGTAGTAAGTATTGTATATCCAAACATACAAAAATACAGCATAAAAGACTTTTTTATTTTATTTTATTTTATTTATTTATTTATTTATTTATTTATTTATTTATTTAAGACAGAGTCTCGCTCTGTCACCCAGGCTGGAGTGCAGTGGCGCAATCTTGGGTCACTGCAAGCTCCACCTCCCGGGTTCATACCATTCTCCTGTCTCAGCCTCCTGAGTAGCTGGGACCACAGGCGCCTGCCACCACACCTGGCTAACTTTTTGTATTTTTAGTAGAGATGGGGTTTCACCATGTTAGCCAGGATGGTCTCGATCTCCTGACCTCATGACCCGCACGCATCGGCCTCCCAAAGTGTTGGGATTACAGGCATGAGCCATTGTGCCGGCCGACTTTTTTAAAATGGTACACCTGTCTAGGGCACTTACCAAGAACGGAGTTTGCAGGACTAAAAGTTGCTCTGCGTGAGTCAGTGGGTGAGTGTTGAGTGAATGTGAAGGCCTAGGACATAACACTAAAATGTACAATAAACACTGTACATTTAGACTACACTAAAATTATTAAAAATTATATATTTCAATAATAAACTAAACAGCTTACTATAACTTTTTTACTTTGTAAACTTTTTCTTTTTAACGTTTTGACTCATAATAACGATTACCTTAAAACACAAATTGTTCAGGTGTACAAAAATATTTTATTTTATCTTTATTCCATAACCTTTTTTTATTTAAAAAACGTTTAATTTACCTTTTGAACATTTTTCTTAAGAATGAAGACACAAACACACACATTAGCCTAGGTCTGAACAGGGTCAGGATCATCACTATCCCTGTCTTCCACCTCCACATCTTGCTCCACTAGAAGACTTTCAGGGGCAATAATACACTTGGAGCTGTGATTTCCTGTGATAACAATGACTTCCTCTGGAATCCCTCCTGAAGTACCTGCCTGAGGCTGTTTTACAGTTAACTTTTTTTTTTTAATCAGTAGAAACAGTTCACTCTAAAATAATAATAAAAGTTTAGCATATTAAGTGCATAAACCAGTAAAATAGTCATTTGTTATCATCATCAAGTATTATGTATGTACACGATTGTACGTGCTATACTTTTACACAATTGGCAGCACAGTAGGTTTGTTTACACCAGCAACACCGGAAACACTTCAGTAATGCATTGTGTGACAACATTACAATTGCTATGATATAACCAGGTGATAACAATTTTTCAGCTCCATTATAATCTTATGAAACCACCATCATATATGCAGTCCATCACTGACTGAAAATGCAACGCATGACTGTATATTTAAAACCAAGATGATATGGGTAATTTCATACAGAAATACAGATTACCAAAATTGCCCCAATTAGAGATAGAAAGCTTAAACAGACCAATTTCTAAAGAACATATACAGAAATTTATATAGGAACCATCCCACAAAAAAGCAAAAGGACCAGATGTGTTCTCAGGGAAATTCTAAGTCTTCAAAAACCAGATAGTTCCAATTATCTGTGAATTGTTCCAGAGTGCTGAAAATGAATAAAAATGTTCTAATTCTTTAAATGAAGCAAGTATAACACTGATGCCCAAAGTAGAAAAAGACAGTTCAAAAAAATATAACTACAGACAAATATCACAAATGGACCCCAAATGATAATATTTTATTATTTTTTGCCAAGAATACAACAATTTAAAAAAAAAACCATATGAAATTTACTCCAGAAACACGAGGTAAATTCAATATTAGAAAATCTACTAACACTATATGTCATATTAATAGATGTAAGAGGAAAAATAATCACTCCATCAATCTTCTGAAATGCTTTCAACAAAACTCCCCACTCACACCTGATAAAACTCTAAGAGGAAGTCCTAATCAGAGCAATTAGGCATACATGGATGAGTCTGGAGAACATTATGTTAAGTGAAATAATCCAGGCACAGAAAGACAAATGCTGCATCTTCTCACTCATGTGTGAGAGCTAAATAAGTTGATCTAATGGAAGAAGAGTAGAATCATGGTTACCAGAGGCTAGGAAGGAGCAGGGGAAAAGAAGATAGAAAGAGGCTGCAGAGTTAGACAGGAGGAATAAGTTCTAGTGTTCTACAGCACAGTAGGGTGACTATAGCTAACACTAATCTATTGTATATTTTAAAATAGCTAGAAGAGAGGATTTTTAATGTTCCCAACCCAAAGAAATGATAAATGTTTGAGGTGATGAATAAACTAATTATCCTGATTTGATCATTACACATTGTATGCATGTACTAAAATATCTATATGTACTCCATAAATATGTATGGTTACTGCGTATCCATTTTTTAAAAAGAAAAAACTCTAAAAAAATAGAAATGTATGGATAGTTTCTTAACATGACAAAATAGATATAGTGCAAAAGCCAGTATCTTACTTAATGGGGGACGTACTAAAGTCAATTCCACTAACACAAGGAACAAGCCAAGATTATCCACTATCTCCACTACTGCTCAACACTGTAATTAGACAAAAGACAAACTGGACAAAAGAAACTGCTATTAGACAAAAGAAATAACAGAATAAGAATTTGAAAGCAAAGAATTAAAACTCTTGTTTCCAAATGAAATGAGAGTACCATAAATAATTCTAGAAAAAAATGAATGATAAAAATTAACTCAAACTATAAAAAAGTTCAGTAAGACAATATAAAATGAACATATAGGAATAATAGCCTTTATATATACAAGTAATAACCAGTTAGAGGTCAAAATGAGAGAGAAATCCTCTATGAAAGGCAGAAAAAAAAATATTTACAAAGGCAACAAAGAACATAAAACATAAAGGAATAACTACAACAAGGTATCTGTATCCATCGTGTATTAGTCTGTTTTCACACTGCTGATAAAGACATACCCAAGACTGGGCAATTTACAAAAGAAAGAGGTTTATTGGACTTACAGTTCCATGTGGCTGGGGAGACCTCACAGTCATGGCGGACGGTAAGGAGGAGTAAGTCACATCTTAAATGGATGACGGCAGGAAAAAAGAGAGCTTGTTCAGGGCAACTCCTGTTTTTTAAAACCATCAGATCTCATGAGACTCATGCACTATCATGAGAACAGCAGGGTAAAGACCCACCCCCATGACTCAATCATCTCCCACTGGGTTCCTCCCACAACACATGGGAATTATGGGAGTTACAAGATCAGATTTGGGTGGGGACACAGAGCCAGACCATATCACATGTGTTCTGTATCCATGGATTCAACCAACCATGGATCAAAAATACTCAGGGGAAAACAACTGTGTCCGTACTAAACATGTACAGATCTTTTCATTTTCATTATTCCCTAAGCAATACACTAAAACAAGTATTATCTAGCATTTATACTATTAGGGATTACAAGTAATCCAGAGATGATTTAAAGTATACAGGAGAATATGCATAGGTTATGTGCAAGTACTACGCCCATTTAATATCAGGCACTTGAGCAATGGCAGATCTTGGTATCTTTGGGGAATCCTGGACCAATCCCCCACAGATCTGGAATGACATCTGTATATCCAAAGCCTACACTGGGAAAACATGAAGACACTGCTAAAAGACACAGAAGTAGAGCTGAATAAATGTGAAGCCATCATCTATTCTTAAACAGAAGGACTTCACCTCCTAAAACTATCAGTTCTCCCTAAATTAATTTATTAAAAATTAATTTCCAGCCAGGCGCTGTGGCTCAGGCCTGTAATCCCAGCACTCTGGGAGGCCAAGGCGGGTGGATCACTTGAGGTCAGGAGTTCAAGACCAGCCTGGCCAACATGGTGAAACCCCATCTCCATTAAAAACACAAAAATTAGCTGGGCATGGTAGCTCGCGCCTGTAATCCCAGCTACTCGGGAGGCTGAGGCAGGAGAATCACTTGAACCCGGGGGGCAGAGGCTGCAGTGAGCCAAGATCGTGCCATTGCAGTCCAGCCTGGGCAACAGAGTGAAACTCTGTCTCAAAAGAAAAAAATTAATTTCTAATTTACCAATACAAATACCAAGTCAATTTTTCATGGAGTTACACAGATGATACTAAAGTTAATTTGAAAAAATTCACATGAAAGAATACTCAGAAAAACACTTTAAAAAGAAAAACTAGGCCAGACACGGTAGCTCACACCTGTAATCCCAGCACTGCGGGAGGCCCAGGTGGGCAGATCACTTGAGGCCAGGAGTTCGAGACCAGCCACCTGGCCAATATGGTGAAATCCTGTCTCTATTAAAAATACAGAAATTAGCCAGGCATGGTGGCTAATAGTAATCCCAGCTACTCGGGAGGCTGAGGCACATGAATCGCTTGAATCTGGGAGGTGGAGGTTGCAGTGAGTCAAGATTGCACCACTGCACTACAGCCTGGGTGACAGAGTGAGATTCTCAAAAAAGAAAGAAAAGAAAGAAAGGAAAGAGAGAGAGAGAGACAGAGAGAGAAAGAGACGGAGAGGGAGAGGGAGAGGGAGAGAGAGAGAGAGAGAAAGAAAGAAAAAGAAAAAGAAAGAAAGAAAGAAAGAAAGAAAGAGAAAGAAAAGAAAGAAAGGAAGAAAGAAAGGAAGGAAAGAAAGAGAGAGAGAGAAAGAGAAAGAGAGGGAGAGGCAGAAGGAGAGGGAGAGGGAGAGGGAAGGGAAGGGAGACAGACTACAAGAAAGGACTAGCCCTAGCAGATGTCAAACTATAATATAAATAAAACTTCCTTTGCAAACAGCGTAGATGGAATACAAATAAACAGAACCGTGGAGCAGAACAGAAAGCCCAAAATAGACCTACGTAAATTTGGAAATTCGTTTTGACAAAAATGGCATCCCAAAACACTGGTGGTAAAGACTAAATTTTTAGTAAATAGTGCTAGTGTAAGCACCAGGTGTGGTGGTGTGTGCCTAGAGTCCCAGCTACTAGGGAGGCAGAGGCAGGAGAATCATGTTGGTCCATGATCTCAAGGCTGTAGTAAGCCATTATTGCACCTGTGAACAGCCACTGCAATCCAGCTTGAGCAATATAACGAGACCCCATCACTAAAAAAAATTTAGAGATTTAAAAAAAATAAAAGAGCACTAGAACATTTCTAGAGATAAAAAGAGCTCTAGAACAATTAGGTTACACAAAGAAAAAAGTAGATTCATACTTCACACCGTAGATAAGAATAAACTCCAAAAGGATTGGAGATATAAATGTCACTATGTAAGTGACAAGTACTAGAAAAAAGTAAATGTCTCTTTAGCCTCTTTTTACACAAAGGTGATAACTTAGCCATGACTCAAAATCCAAAAGAACTTGAAAAAGATTCATAAATTTAATGGCAAAGAATAAAATATTCTGCACAACAAAGTAAAAGGACAGCAGACAAAAGGGGAGAATATGCCTGTGACATATGCCACAGACAAACAGAAAAACTCACACAAATTGAGAGACAATAGATAAACAATAAGAGACATGAATGATTGACAAAAGTATATCTAAATGGCCAAACTATAAAAGATGCTCAAACCCACTCACAATTACAGAAATGAAAAATGAAAACCCTGAAATACCATTTCTTCCCTACTGAATGGTGAAAATTATAAAGAATGACAACAATAAAATTCCATTTGAGGGGTTGCAAGGAACACACAATTTTCACACTTGGTGGTAAGGATATAAAGTGTTACAACCCTTTTGGAGGGTAACTAGGCAGTATCTATAATCGTACCTACCTTTCAATCCAGCAGTCTGCACTCTAGAAATTCATCCCAAAGATATACCTCCAATAATATAAAAATCAATAAGCAAAAGTTCACTCACTGCCACACAGTTTGGAATTGTGAAATATCAGACAACCTCAACACCCACACATGGGAAAGTAGTTGAATAAACCACTATACACTCACTGCATGGAAAACTAAGCAGCCATAAGAAAGAATGACGAAGATTTCTATCAACTGATGCAGAGTTCCCAGGTTACATTACAAAAAGTAAAATAGTATCTATAGTATGCTATCATTTAAGTAAAAAACAAAAGGAAATTTAAAAATTTCCATGGGTTTCATACAGAGAATTCTGTATATTTATTCTATGACATTATGACCTACAGAATAAATAATCAGAGTCTACACTGACATAAATAATTGAATAAATGGGGAATAAGAGACCACTCTTCCTTACAGTGAAATTCCAATTAACAAATGTAGAAGGCATGATCAAAATACGAAAAATCACTGCTGACTTCTGCCTGTTTGTACAAAAAATAAATAAATAAATGGAAGGAGAAGTCAAAAGCTAATGGGAGACGGGTGGGCTCAAGATGGAAAGAATGGAGTAATGGGGATGGCAAAAAGGACGAGTGGGCAGTGATCATTCTCTGAGTAAAAGATTTAATATCATTCTGACTTTGAGGGCCATGCTCATATTTCACAAACTCAAAAAATTAAAACCATCCAGGAAGTGGGGAGAATCCACAATGGAATACAAGTGGTAACAAATTAATCTAATTGTATTACAAATTAAAAACAGAATTTGATTTGAGTGGCAAAGGAAAGAACTAACCCAAGTGAACTTCACAAAAAGGACTAAACATAAATATTATATTTGTGTTAGTAAAATTTCTTTTTCACAGAGATGGGTTAGTAATTCTGAAACCACTGTATATGATTAATAGGATTGAACAAATAATGTAAATATATTGTAGACTATGAGACTTTCTGTTTTTCACTGTTAAAGAGCAGAGTTACTTATAAGAAAAGGGAGATGCTAAAATCAAATCCTATCCAGTTGAAGTAAAATCAAAGGGAAGAGTACAACCTCGTGTTTTTTTAATACATATACAGATAAGTAGAAATAGTTATAGGTGTTTGTGTAAATACATACATTTCCTAAGTCTTAGTAGATTTAAGTCTACTAAGAGTGCCTGGAAGCAATGACATCCTAGTAGCAATGAGCATATCTAGTGCCCAGATTGCGGTTTCTTCACACAGTTCACCAGTGAAAGGAACCAGGGCTTCTTCAAGAAATGACTCAAACCAGGACTTGAGGCAAGGAAAGTACACGATAAGCCTGAACTTATGGTGCCGGGAAATAAGGAAGTGCTCAAAACAGAAGCATATTAAAAGGATACAGGAGCACTGGGTAACAGTGTGAATGGAGTTAATACTGCTGAACTCTGCATTTAAAAATGGTTAAGATGCGCGGAGGGAAAGTCAAGCCTTGTACCATTCTCATTAGTATAAGCTGAGTTCCATAGCTTGTCATTAAAATCCTCACTCAATAAGAAAACAAACGACAACAACAAAAAGATAAAGGAGACAACCTGAAGACATTTCCATTGGCCAAGTCCAGAACAACATGGGTGATAATGATAGTTACGGATTATGTCTCAAAAAATAAAGAACCATGAGGCTACACTGATATAAATAATTGAATACATAAATAAATGAGAGAAAAGAGACTCATTCTGTAGCTCTTCTTTACACTCAAAAATTCAAATTAATAAGTGGAGAAGACATGATGGAAAGAGAAAAATCACCACTTGATAATACAATTGTATTGATTGTTACAGGTAAGAATAACCAAGGGATGCTAAAATTATAATGGTGAGAGCATGATGAGAAATAGGATATGTGCACAGTACCAAAGAATCCCAAAATATCTATTAATTCCAAAGAAGAAGACAGTAACTTTACAGTGGAGAAAACTGACAGCTACCACCTTAAATAAAGTTTACACCTGGTTACTAGATGTTAAAGTTAACTGGTACAGAGATATATCAACAGCCTGAATCTTCTTGGTATGACACACTGATATTTGTCAATCTCAAGTGCAATATCGACCACTCCTATATTCTTGATAAAATGCATAGCATCTGAATCTAACCATGAAGAAATATCAAGCAAATGCAAACTGACCAATGTTCTATAACACAACTGACAAGTATTCTTCAACAGCGTCAATGTCATAAAAGAAGAAGAAAAAAATGAGGATCTGTTCCAGATTGGAGGTGACAGTGAATGACAACTAAATGCAATGGAGAATCCTAAACTGGATCCTGAACTGGAAAAAAGACAAAATGTGAATTAAGTCTGTATCAATATTAATTCTCTGGTTTGATCACTGCATCATGGCTATGTAAAATATTTAAACATTAAAGGAAGCTGGGTGAAAGGTCCATGGGAAGTCTTTGCACTATTTTTGTAACTTTTCAGTAATTATGTTATTATTTCAAGACACAAGTTAAAAACTGTTTACATACTCTACATAGTCAACAACTAAGGTTTCCAGTCAAAACATGTTTATAAGCTGGCGCAGTAGCACATGCCTGTAGTCCCAGCTACTCAGGAGGCTGAGGCAGAAAGATGGCTTTAGCCCAGGATTTCAAGGCTGCAATATGCTATGGCTGCACCTGTAAATAGCCACTCCACTCCAGCTTGGGCAACAGACAGAGACTCCATCTCTAAAAATATAAATAAATACTTAAAAAAACATTCTTCTAAGCAGTATTTATAATGCCAATTATTACCAAAAAAGTCGAGAGGTGACTGGTTAATAAAATTTCATGCACATAAACTGGAACACTAAAAATCCATAAATAAGAGAACAAACAAATATTCTATGAATCTATAAAGAATGAGGAACCTTTGTATATATCCATATGGAATTATTCCAGGATACACAATTGGAGGAAGGAAGGGAGGCAGGGAGGGAAGAAAGAGAGGGGGAGGGAAAAACACAAAGGGAGGAGAGAGAAGAAGCGAAAGAGAGACAAAGGAGAAAGGGAGGAAAGGTATTGACATAGTCATTTGTATACATTATGGTAAAGGGCATAAGGTGGCTAACATCAGAGCTGTAATGAAGTTTCCATTGCACACCCTTTTGTTTTAAAATTTTAGCCATGAAAATCACATACACCAAAAAAGTAAAATAATATGGTAAAATATTAGCATTTGTTAAATCTAGGTAATGAGTATACAAAAATTCAGTGTACTATTTTTACAATTTTGCTATTAGTCTAAAATGATTTAAAATTTACCCCAGAAAAGTACACACAGGAAAGAAATTGTTCCTCTACACATGGTCCCCAAAACCCAGGCAGCCACCTTATGAAAGTAACTTTTTAACTTCACTGAAGACCAAGCCATCACATTGAACGTGGCAGAAGAGAAAAAATAAGGAAAAAATACGAAGTACTTAGTGCCTAGGGTCTTTGATAGTATCTTTGAACAACTGAATTAATAAAGTCGGAGCTGCCCTTCCTCAAGATTTCTTGTTACCTCAGATAGCAAAGTTTGCTTATTGTTGAGGGAAGGGGGGTGTAAAATAAGATACAGAGACCCAGGATGAGTATAGACTTGAAAAAGACCCAGGATTTTAAAAACTGAGGTACATTCGCACCCATTCAGGTATCATTGTCAACAAAGAAGCATTACCACACTTCCCTCACTGTATTATAATTATCTGGCTAAGACTCTGCCCTTTTTGCTAAACTGTCATCTCCTAAGAGCAGTGACTGTGTCATTAATCTTTGAATTGCCAAAGCCTGTAACACATAGTAGGCATTCAAGAAATATTTGTCAAATTAATGAACACTGACTCTCTTTAATGTATCACATAAAAATGGCTGGCCAGATGTGGTGCAAACATCATTTACTTTGGAAAATCCTTAAGCCTGCCATTCAGGACAAGTATATTTATTTCAAGGGCAGTGAAAACTGAATCAAATGCAATGGATATTTGCTGCCAAATGGAAGAGACACACCATACATATTTAACACAGTGGCCAGAGAACATAGACATTTGTTTTAGATAAAAGTTCCAAATCTATTATAGTAAAGAATGTTCAGTTAGTTAATGTCTGAAATTTGTCTCTTTTGACCAGCCCTGAAATGGAAAGATGAGGCAAATGGTACATGCTGTTCCAGTGGTAAGATGATACTAGAAGAGCTAAATATTAATTAAAGAAAGAACTAGTTAAATCTTTAAACAGTGGCAAACAGAATCCAGACACTTCAAAAATGTCATCAGAGCATGGTTTCATGTATTTTGAAACAGTTCAATAAAAGGTAATGTCATCATAATCACTAATAAGTCAAAAAAAAAAAAAAAAAGGATTCTTTGGAATGCAGCGGGCGATCAGCCCTCAAGTTGCTTCTCAGCCGGGCAAATCTATGTAAGTAGATTCCAGGATCAGCTGCTGTAAAATGTATTAATATGTGCCCATAAAGAAGAATACCTAAGACGGCATAAGATTTGTTATAACACTTTTTGCATTATAAATAATCATGCAATAAATAACTTTATGTTCCTATCCTAGCAAACAGGTATTTCATGTCTGTAGGAGAGGGTCATAAAACACAGGACTGCTAAATCAAGGGGCAGATATATTTTTAAATTTTATACCTATCAAAAAACAACTTCCACAGAAGATTATAGCAATTCAAACTTCTACCAGAAATGTATCAGAGTAAACAACAGTTCCCCATACTCTCAGGAGCACTGGGCCTACTGGGAAAAAAAAAAAATCTAGTGGGCAAAAACCAATATCTCACTTGGTCTGTATTTCCCTGAGCACTGGTAAGAATGAAAATCTTTCCATTTTTATTTGCACATCCTCTTTCATAAATTGCCTGTTTATGCCCTTTGGATATTTTCTAATTATGTTGCCTAATGTAAGGAGCTCTTTAATAGTATTTATTTAAACTTATAAACATAATGTCATATATACCTTCACATCCA